>NC_000014.9:78399591-78551106 GCF_000001405.40 Homo sapiens
TTAAATACCAGCCTCTAACTACTCTGCTCTACCCTTCCATACTCAATGTCTAACTGCTGCCTGGTGAATTTGTGGTTAGTTGGCCCTTAATAACTAGTGATGCATTGGCTATTTTTGACAGTAATTTTTATTTGCTATCCATTCTAGCTATTCGCTAGTCTGGCTGAATCCTTGGGAAATTCACAACACTGTCATAGTCTTCAATTGCTTGTGTCACTGCCACCTCTAGCCATTAAGTTGCTCTGTTTTGTAGAATGGTAGAAAAAGTCCTCCGGAAAAATGCAAGGCAGCAGAGAGGCCCCTCCCTCAAGATCCTAATAGTGTCAGAGGGAAACTAGAATTAGCTATGTAACTAGGGGAAATTTTCTCACATCATTTATCTATACTACATTTACTATTCTTTGTTTTTACAATATCTATTGTAACAGAAAATAAATAATTGACCAGTCTGTGTTTTGTTTTCTTTTTCTTTCAGTATTTGCAGAGAAATAACTGTAAAACATTTTACTTCATTCTATTAGAAATATTGAAAGGGGATGATGCAGCCATGGCAGAAAAAGGCATTATTCCCCTTTAAGAGAAATTTCTCTCAGACATAGAAAAAATACAGCAGTCTCCTATTATGAGTTGACCTTGGAGCCAAGAAGTAGTAGTTATTCCCTCCATCCATTCCATTACTAATACAGCAGGCAAAAGTCAGAAAGATTAGTTTCAAAATTTCTATAAACTCGAAGTAAAGTTTCAGCTGTCTTCCTTTATCTGACAGTGTTTTTACTGGTGGTACTTTTAAGACTTAAACCAACCATAGGCAACTATTTTCTCTTCTTGAGCTTTATGGGCATCTTTTATAGAAACTTTACCTAGCTGTCAGTCTATTAACTCCCAAGTATTTAGTTTGATTCATCGGATTGCGGATATTTCTAAAAGGTACCGCAAAAATACATGGGCCTGAGAATCCTCAAGGGGGTTGGATTCCAGTGAGCTAGTGAAGGATCTTCAAGGTGTTTATTGAGCACTTATTCCCTGGACTGTGCATGATGCTGTATAGGCATTATTAAGTTAAACCTGACAATTCTCTAAGTTATGGACTTAGTATGTAATTGATGGTCTCTGTCTTCAAAGTGGAAATACACTCTCCACTGTGTTTATGAAAATCACTAAATGACTGCCTGGCTGGGTGTATGCAGTCGGTTTCTCTCTGATTACCAGTGATAGATTATCATGATTAATCCTCACCATTTCCCATTCTCCTCTGCACCCTCCCCCAATTTTTATGATGAAAACCATCTTCATCTGTTTGTGCTGCTATAATAACATACCTGAGACTGGGGAATTTATAAACAAGGGAAATTTATTTCTCACAGTTCTGGAGGCTGAGAAGTCCAATATCAAAGTGCTGGCAGGTTCAGCATCTGGTGAGGACCCTGTTCCCTGCTTCCAAGATGGTGCCTTCTTGCTAATCCTCTGGAGGTGACAAATGCTCTGTCCTCACACGGTAAAAGGTGGAAAAGCAAAAAGGTCTAAGTTAGTTCCCTCCAGTCATTTTATAAAGCACTAGTGGGGTCCCAAAATGCCACTTTTTATTTTTTTTGGGATGGCGTCTTTCTCTGTTGCCCAGGCTGGAGTGCAATAGCGTGATCTTGGCTCACTGCAGCCACCGCCTCCTGGGTTCAAGTGATTCTCCTGCCTCAGCCTCCTGAGTAGCTGGAATTACAGGCACCCGCCACCATGCCTGACTAATTTTTGTATTTTTAGTAGAGACATGGTTTTGCCATATTGGCCAGGCTGATCTTGAACTCCTGACCTCAGGTGATCTGCCCTCCTGAGCCTCCCAAAGTGCTGGGATTACAGGCGTGAGCCACCACGTCTGGCCCAAAGGCCACTTTTTAATACCATCACAATGAGGATTAGATTTCAACAGTGGAAGGTGGAAAAGCAAAAAGGCCTAAGTTAGTTCTCTCCAGACCTTTTATAAGGCACTAGTTGGGTCCCAAAAGGCCACTTTTTAATACCACCACAATGAGTATTAAATTTTAACATAAATTTTGGAAGGGACATAAACATTCAATTCATAAATCAAAGGCAGATATTATGCTCCTTTGCTTGAACAAATAGCCAGTCTCTGGCAATGGACCATTTTCTAACTTGTATAAAGCTGGCTGGCCCACATAAGGATTCAATCTATAACTCATACTTAACTTCTTGATCTAACCAGCTAAACTATTCATTATAGTTAAAAAGGCAATACACAATAGAGGAACATACTCACTAGTTTCTAAGTTTTAATAATTTTTAATGCCTTGACTAGATCAAACTAGTAAGATACAGAGCCTGCATTCGATTCCAGGTTTGCTGAATTCCAATGTTGTACAGCTTTAAAAAGGGAATTATTGCATGCTTTAAAATGGTGTTTCTGTCTCACTGCATGTGGTGAGTGATGAATCACTGAATGGATGATTAACTGTTCTGAATGGTGCGGTTTATTACACATTGTACATTGTGTGCTATGCACCACTAACCTGCATAGGATCTATGTGTGTTCTTCTGAATATTGAAAAAATGAGGAAAATGGTACTTTCTATCTGCCCTTGAGGATGTTATGTGTGTTAATAAACTAGCATCTTTGAAGAAAAGATCCACATGCAACGACCTTTTCACTTGATAGCAAGAAGTCTGAATTAGTGAAAAGTCAGAATAAGTGATTACTTGGAATTTTAAAAAATCACCTTCAAGAACATTCAGTAGTGAAAACAAAGATTTACTAAGTGGATTGATGGGTCTTTTATTGAATATATAATAATTCTTAGGAAATTCCTATTTATATGAATTATAAGTGAGTAGGTGCTGCCCAAGTGCTTAAAAGCCGTTTGTTCTTTTAAGAATCTTTACCATTCCTTCTAAGACTTTGGAGCGTTTGGTGATGTCCTTAACAAGCCATTGTATATAGCAGAGGAGTAAAGTGGAATCACACATAAATGGTCACATATTTCAAATATGAAGATGTAAACAGTTTAGGGTCTACTCTGAGCACCTACTTAGTGTAGTAGAGCTGAGCAGTTGAAGTCATTTGTTCTGAAATCACATAGGTCTAATCCTGAAATCCCCTCTTAACCATGTGACTTTGGACAGGTTACCTAGTATCTCTAACATCACCTGTGCTCATTTCTAAAATGGAGAGAATACTGATTAGACATATCTTATACGATTTGGGGGCTACTAAATAAGATAATGCATGAAAAGTACTATGAATCATATTTACAACATAATAAAGATCAGCTGCTTCTATTATTAATATTAACACTATTAAGGAGTAATTTTACAAATGATGCTCTCTCCCTGTGAGAGGTTATGGGTAACAACTGAGTCTATATTTGTTGGCATCATAAGAAGACAACTCCATATATAGTATTCTGCCCCCGGATTTCTGCTTCTTGTTTGAGGTGGGAGCAAAGAAATGACAGGTTCAATCCAAAATATCTTTGAGTTGTTCAGCTAACCGTGGGATTGGGTGAAGGATTTAGGAAGGCTATGTTTTGGATCTGAAATAAGGGGATTTCAAGACTCCTGTATTTACTACAGAATATTCCAAACTTTTGCAGCTACCTTGAAACTATGAATCAGCCAATAGGAAGAAGGGGCCCCAGGTAACTGCTGTAGAAACACTGCCGGCTTTCGCCCTGACTTCTTTTCTGCTCACTGCAGTAGCAACTTAGCTTCAAAATGTCCTCTTTAGTCATGCATTCTGATCAAAGTAGTTATTTAAAGATTGTGGCTAATAGTAGAGTAGATACCCCTGGTATTTCCCAGAGCAGAGCTCGCATTCTGGGAATCTTAGGTCCATGTGACTTCCTGAGTCAGTGATTCACACTGAGAAAAGAGATAGGTTTGGCATGACACAATCTGCAGATTCAAATAAATCCCCTGGGAGAGGATGAGGCTGCTGAGAGTCCTCTTTGCTGGCTGAAGCTCCCAGTGTATGCACAAAACACCCTGTCCCGGGCCCCAGATGTGTGCAGGTTTCTAATTGCCGGTGCTGCACTAAGATTTGAAGGGTGAGAGAGTTGCAAAATCACGAACACCGAGGGCGGTGTTAGGAAGGCAGCTTCCTGCACACTGTTGTAGGTGTTAGTGAGATTATCAATTGCTCCGGGAGAGACACAGGACTGGAGGGCTTGAGGAATGTGGTGGTCCCTCTCTTCGTTGTTTCTGCCCCCTGAGGTTGTGCTTTCTCAGGGATATGCACTCTGCACTTCCATTCCTGCAGTGAAATTAACTCGAGCTTGGCAGGTAAGTCTTTCGGCTCACCTTTAAAAAGAAAAGATATGTGAGCTGCGGTGGGGGTGGGCTGTTCCCCATTTGCCTTACATTGGATGTATTTTATTGGTGCAAAGTGGTATTTGGAAGCTTAAATGTGGGGCAGAGGTTTGAAGTAGCCAAATGAACTCTGTGGCCCTGAGAGAAGAGAAAGGATAACCAAAAGAAAGGGAAGGGGACTCAGGCATTTTTCTCCTAATAAATCTCTAATTTTTCTTGGAAATTTTGCCTCCAGGCCGATGCCTGGCCCCAGAACAGGGTCTTTGGCATGAGTTATAGCTGTGATGTTCCCTATTTTCCTTTTTTTTTTTTTTTTTAAGTTGTCGCTGCATGGGAGCAGGCAGACAGAAACAGGGTTGCATGTTGTCAATACAGGCTGCAGAAGTCAATAAGCAGCCAGACAGGGAATGAAATTGGAGGAGGCAGCTATAGATTTCTTAGGTTATTTCTTGTGAGTTTTTCAGAACTTGTGTGATTCAGGCTTGTCAGATACTATTTTGAGCTGGGCTGAGACAAACACATTCCCCTAGTGCACCAGATATTGCCTGCAGCCTCCCAATTTCTGGAGGCACCTGGGTCGGCTTTCTTGGGGGCAAGGGAATGTCCAAGGAAAGGTCAGGAATGAGGGAATTGGAAACTATGATGGGAAAAACAACTGTTTTACTGCTCTAGAATCTAACAGAAATCATAATGTCACCCTGGAGATAATTATTATGCTGTTAGTGATCGGCTTGAGACCAGGGACTGTGCCTCATTCAATTCACTGCTTGGATCAGAGTGAATACTCAATAAATGTACAATGATTAAATGTTAGTATCAAAATACATACTTTTGGGATAAGCTCGGATTGATATTCTGGGTTCTGCTTAGAATGATAAGATGGAGTAATAAGGGAGAGTAATGTTGATTGGTAGATAATTATGAAGAAATGAGTTCTGTTAAATAGTAGATTAATATCTGCAAGTGGAATTATTAGACAAGGACACACAAACACAGGGTCTCTCTGCCTGCCTATCGTCTGTCTACTTTCATCTCTGTCTTGTGTTTCACTTGATTCCAGAAGAATTTCAGGCAGCTTATGGGACAAGTTTAATGAAAATTAACATCATTAGGGATAAAAATGACAAAATATATAGGCTTCATCCAGCAATTGATCTTCTGTGGTTCTACAGTGACATGGACTACAGATAACTGAAATGTAAGGGTTACTGTAACTTCATTTAAGCATTTATTTTAACCTCTTCTTCCACTAATCTCATGCTTGATGCTACAAACCTAGAGTAAAGTAGATGAATGTTCTGGCCCTGCTGTGGGTCCCAGTGAGGTAAAACTAGCAAAGGGCAGATAACAGTCATGCAGGGGATTGAGTCATACATGGAGGGTTGAATGTTTTGCCCTTTGGAGGTGATAAAGCAGATAATTGGGTGGCTCTTCTCCATTCCATAGGCTGGGCTGCTCTGTCATAGCTTCACAGTGCTTTGCTTACTTTTTCTTTCCCCTATTTGAAACTGAATCAGGAAGATCATATTTCCCTTCCGATCCTGCTTAATAAAATATTCTATTATTTTCTCAGCTGCAAAAGTACACTATTATCACTGATCATTCCCTCCTCATCTCAGAGTGTTTGTCACTGGCCACAGTTTATATACAAGCTATACAGGCTGCCTGGAACTTGAATTGGCTTTAGAGTGGATGCTGGGGAAGGGGCGGGGGGGTTCCGGGTATCTGATGAATTCCTGCAACTGCAGGGCTGGGAGCCTGGCGGGGAGCCAAGGGGATTGTGGACAGATGCTATGCTTGCTGGGTCGACCTGGCTCAGCTAATATTCCCAGACTTGGAGCTGGGGGACACATTCATTTCATTCAACCCATACAAAAATATGGACTTAATATCAACTATGTGTACGGCATGGAATTCTTGGCATACTCAGGGTGTCAAACCCAGGAGTCCCTGTTCCCCAAGTAGCTGACTCTGCTACCCACATAGCAGGTGCTGTTACATTGTCTAGTTTATTTCTCTTGGATGGGAAAATAATTTTATCCTATTCACAAATGAGGAAACCGAGACTCACATATTATGCACCATGCCTAACATTGCAGGTAGTGAATGGATGAATCATGAGGGAAACTGTTTACTTCAACTGTACTGCACATCTGTAAGAAAAGACATTCAGGAAAGACTTTTACAAGACAGTGCATGCTAAGGGCTAGGAAGTTTGGTGAGAGATGGCTCCCATGGAGAAGTAGAAATTAAGATGGGCTTTGAAGCATGAGCAGATGACAAAAAAGCCCAATCCAAACTGGCTTAAACAGCAAGGGGGTGGTTATTGGCTCATGTGATTGAGAAGATCAATGTGACCAAGGTCTGGATATTTCTGTCTTGTGTCTCCTACCGAGTTGGCTTTATCCTCAATTCAGCTACCTAAAGTCCTCTGGACCCTACCCCCCCGGAAGCTGAAGGATGACTGCGGGAGTTTCAGTCCCCTACATAGTTCCTGGGGCCACTTTCTCTCATTAGCCACAACTGTGGCTGGGGGTAGACAGGAGACAGTTTATTCTGTACCCTCTACTAAACAGCATAGGTAAGACTAATAGAGAATAAATTTTGCAAAAGGAAAATCTGGGTAGAAGAAGGGGAACGAATGGTTGGTAGCCCACTAATGTCCCATAGCAGAGGATTTAGAGAGGCAAGGGGAGCAGAAATCCTCACAGCACAAGCACTGGTAGCAGTGGAGGGTGGGTAGGCCTGAGTTAGAAGTTAAGATGCCAGTCTTCTGATGTTCCTGGGAATAGATGTTTTGGCCAGCTATGTCTTATTACCAGTGCCCACTGATCCCAAAACTACCTTGCTGCATGCTGATAGCGTCCTCCTAGACCTCAGAGGTTGGAGGTGGGGGTGAGAGGGTCTTAGTTTACTAAGGTAGAAATCAGTGAACTGGTAGGGTCAGATCATGTCAGTGGAAATGATCCCAAGATTCCCTGACTGGTCTGAGGCTGCATATACCCTGCACTCTAATAGCCCATTGATGTCAGCTCTTGGCTACCTGCTCCAGTGAAACTCGGGTCCTAAAAGTCAACAGGTGCTCAGTGATAAAGCAGGGTACAAGGAGACAAAGAGAGGGTCTTAGGGACTGGGATCCTTTTGAATGGTCCTAAGAAGATATGACATTTGTTGTTTCACTAACTCCTACCAACTCATGCCTAGGTTTGCTCAAAGGGCTTTTGTTTCTGGAGGCATATCCTGAGGTCCTGAGTGGGAAGCTTAGAGCTTGGCCCATTAAAACAGAGAGCTCATTTTTCTTTCTTTTCCAGAAAAGCAAAGAAGCATCATGGGTAATGAAAAAAAAATACTGCACTAGGAGGAACCAGGAGACATGAGTTTGGCCTGGGATCTACATGTACTGATTCCTGTTTGACTTTGTATAAGCTTCTTTAATTTCTGCTACTAAGCCCCCTATCAAGGTGTTTTTGTTGTTGTTGTTTTTTCTCTTATTTCCTCAGATAGAATTATTTTATAGTCAAGCTTTGTTATTCTAGCAAAGAAACCTGGGGTTATGCTTTGGAAGGCCATTTTTTTCCTGTGTTTGAACCAAATTGAATTTAGCAGGTGCAAAGGGCTGCAGAAGAGACTTGGCAATTGATAGAATTATAGCCAGGATTCAGAGGGCCCTCAGGAGTCCTAGGCATTGACTCTTTGAGCCCTGTGCTGAAATCACCTCTCAAGCTTTCCTCTATCCAGGCTCTTCTCTTGTGTGTGTAACACCATGCCATGCCCAGCCACACTTGGGAATAATCTCAGATTCCGTATCTTTACCTCTCTTTTTAATTTTGCTGCTCAGCCTCTCTGTGCTGCCTTCACACATCCCATTAGTCAACGAAGTCGTATTGATTTTATATCCAAATTCCTCTTAAACCCACACCATCTTGTTCATCCCCATGTTCCAGTGCTGCTCCTCCCTCACTGGACTCTTATAATTGCTGCTTTACTGTGCATGGGATATGAGAGGTCCTCCATAAATAGCATTTGAACAAATGCAGAATGAGATAATAACACAAGTGAAATGACGTGAAACAGGCCTGAGTTCTCAATCTTCTACTTATATGGGATAGACATGGGTTGGTATTTCTAGAAATAATTATAGGAAAGAACTAGGTTCTTTTGTAGTCAACTCACCACGTGTCTGAAGTTACCTTATTTCCATCTCATGAAGATGTTTAACAAGTTCATGTGAAACAAACTGTTTCTACTGGGAAGACCATGTCCAAGTCTTCCCACATTCTGATGGAGGTGCCACACCCTCCCCTGCTTCTCTAGGGTCTCATTTTACCATCCTCATTTTGCCAGCCTCTGGGAAACCTGATCTAAGCCTATGCAATGCTAAAAGTGCCTGCTTAACAGCTTGGAAGGGAGGAGAGGCAATTTATTTGCTCAACTGAATTACCTGTTTACACTTCTGATCTCCAAAGCATATGTCAGAACAAGAAGAGAATAGAAGAAATTGTTAACATTGCATGGAACTAGGGAGTCCACATATAAGAGAAATTTATCACATGAAAATGCTTGCTTTCTTTGGTGGTGAATCTCTTTCACCATCAGAATTGCCTCCCTCCTGTCATTTACCTTGCAACAAATTTTCCTTTACAATATCTTTACTCAGGGTGCCTTTCCTCTGAAAACAGAAACACCTAGTTGACATCTCACCACTTTGCTGCTTTGGTTGCAGCCTAGTGATGGAATGACAAGCCCACTCCATAGGTGCCTCTGAATAGCTTATTTCAGGGAGCTGCAAGACAACTATTTGCTCAGAAAATTCTCACGAGGGTGATGGTTTTCAAAGCAGGAAGGAGAGGGAATTCCTGGTACACTTCCCCTCTGCATTGCTGGAGAAATGAAGAAACACTTGAAGGCAAAGTCATAAGTCAGGTTGAAGATGGTTTCTGGTGGAGTGGTTTGGAGATTTCATCTCAAGTTGAGAGCTGTCCTGGAATAGCTTCTACCTGACTTGTTTATTTCTCAGCTATTAATAGAAACTAACAGAGTGAGGATGGTCCAGGAATCTCTCCCATAATGTCCTACTTCAGGACTTGAAATTCTGTTAGAAATTCAATTTTAATATCATGGGATAAAACATAAATGCATGAATCTCTTTGCAGAACCCCTGCCAAGGGACAGCCTTCAATAAATACTTACGAAGCTGGACACTAGGCTGGTTGCTACAAATACAAAGAAAAGCAAGTCATATCATTTCCTACCAAGGAGCTCACAACCTGGATGATGATGCCAATTCTAAGACTAACAAGAACAGGTACTAGCGTAGATGGTGGTTTCTATATGCTAGGTACCATTCTATGTGCTTTATGTGCTGAAGTCATTGCATTATCACAACAAGCCTATAAGACTCTTAACCCTGTTTTACAGGTGAGGAAACTGGGACACTGTCTTGTTAAGTGTCTTGCCTGAAGTCACAGGATTAACATGTACAAGGCACTATGAGAGCAGAGAGAAAAGAGGCGTGGTCAGGGAGTAAGGGAGATACATGTACAGACCACTGATGTGGACTCATCATCTCCATAACTGCCCCTTTGCCCTTCCTTTGCATTCAAAATTATTATCTCTCTCTCGTTCAATTTAGCTATTTCTATGAAGGGGTGAAAATCCCTAACCTCTTGATATGAATTTAGCATTCAAAGGCACCTGAGATGAGGAAGGCAGAAAGTGTTCAGTATAATTTGGGTCTGCTTCCTGATTTTTCTCAGGTTTGGTCAAGAGGCTGAAAAGCAAATAGAATGCAATGGCAGGCACACACACATAAGGAGCTTATTGAAAAGATAGATCTCAATTTCTAGTATTTCCACCAGGCATTATGACCCTGACACCTTTTTCAGTTATGGTACTCTATCAGGGTTACTTTGATTATAAGTGACAGGAAAACCCAACCCAAACTGCCTTAAGCCAAAGGAAATTTTAGAGGGTCCCATAAGGAGAAAGTCTAGGGGTTGCTCTGGGTCTAGGAATACCTTGATACAAGATCTCATGTAATATTGCCGGGTTTTCTGTTCTCTTCTTTGAACTTAGTTCTCCTCCTCTTGCCTCATGATCACAAAATTGATGCAGCAGCTCCAACCCTTACTTTACTTAGCTTCTGTCTAGGGGGAGATATAACAGTTACTTTTCTGAATTATCAGAAAGAGTCCTGGGCTTTTCTATCGTTGGCCCTATTAAGTTACCTGCCTGTTTCTAGATCAGTAACTGTGCCCATGGAAATAAACTACACTGATTAGCTTAGGCCAATGGGTATAAGAATAAATGAAAGTGGAGAACCAGTAAGTCTCTGAGGAAATTCAGTTTACGCTGGAGAATGGTAGTGACATCTTCAATGGAAGCTTCTTGAGTGACCTATGTTATAGCTCTGTTAGATGGCGTGGTCCCTCCAGGGCTAACAGCATCTATAATACCTATGTTTCCTTATTCTCCTCCTTACCTATCAGTATGTCTGCTCTATGCTCAGGAGTATTCCACAGTGGCTCAGTGGCATGAATAATAGGAAATAATGTCTAAATGGACTATAAGACATAAGCTGGCTTTTTCAATGGCCCTTAAGTTTCTTAACTCCTGAGCCAGGGTTCTTCTTCAGACCAGAGGGACCTGGAACATCTTTGGTCCTACAGATGGTGTTGGTTGGGTATCAGCATATGGGGAGATACGTGGGTGGGAGGAGCTGATGTCAGAAGGCCTGAGTTGGAACATTGGATTACAATCAAAGGAAAAATCTTGAGCCTTCAATTGATGAAAAAACCTCCTTAGTTGAAAAATGCAAAACTCTGGCAGACTCCTTCTGAGGATGATGAAGAAAAGACAAAACTCTCTGAAATAATTAAAACTCCGCAGGAGGGATATTATTATATATGGGGTTACTAGAAGGGGAGTCAGGATTAGGGTTGGGATTAGGGGAGTTATTAGACAGGGAGTCAGGGCCTCCTGCCATGGGAACTTCTTGTCAGTGATTTCTTCCCTTGGCCCTGAGATAGGCAGCTTGGTGGAGAAGGCTTATACTTCTTAGCTGGGTGACCTTGGATAATTCACTTAATCTCGCTGGGTCTAGATTTCATAATCTGTAAATGAGGATAATAGGAAGACCAAGTTCATGAAGAAATTATGAAAATTAAATGAAAATGTTAGGTAGTTATGTTCAAACTCATGCAAGCTTGGCCAATAGCCAACCATTTGGTCAACATTAGTTTCAGTTATTTTCTCCCTGTCTGTAAACTCTAGAGTTTACAAACTCAACAATTTGGAGGTTTTTCTTCCCACGCAGCACATGACTTCACAACACTAAGCATGTCGATAGTGAATTAACTTGTCATTATTGTATGGGTTTTATTATTATGTTTGCTTTTGAATTAGTATTTTGAGCAGTTGCATCAAATCACAGAACAGTGGAGGGGTTCTGATTAAGCTGAGCCTTTCCCTGCTGCAGCACAGGCCCTGGGTGAGGGCCATTTGTATTAGGATCCCTGCCTTGCCCCTGACTAGCCAGATCACTTTGGTCTCTGACCTCAGTGTCCTGATTAGTCCACATGGGGATAATAATACCTTCCCACAAGGTTATTGTGAGAATTTGAGACAATTCCTAGAAAGCCTGGTTCTTTTATGAGCTGTGTATTCATTCATTGTCAGTGCCCACTCTGTGGGATTTTGCAATTTAAAACATCACTTCCATGCATGGCTGTCTCTGGAAGGGTATAGGCCCAGAGGACCTCATCTGGTGATGGGGAAGCCCCCTAAATTGCTCATACGTATACATGTAAAATCAAAATCCACCAGTGCAGTTCTCCCTGCACCTCCCCCTATCCAAGCATGGGGCCAGGGTGGCTGCCAGATTGTTTTTTCCAAGGGTTGACCCTGTTTTCATGCTCCTGTGATTTACTTACAGAAGGGATTATCACATTGGATGAGAGGCTGAATTTCATAGACCTCAAATGTCCTTTTCCAACTCTGAGATTTTATGTGTCTATGTTTTCATTTCCAAATAGAAAATAACCCTTATCATTGCTAATGGTATTCCCTTAAGGAAGTTACTTAATCTTTCTATTTCTCAATTTCTTATTTGTAGAATAGAATGGATTATATTCCCTACATCCTAGGATGGGTGTGAGATTTAAACAAAGAATGCATGTAAGATGTTCAGCACAGTGTAGTAAGACGTTAATGGTGCTCACTGATAGACATTTCTTATTTGGGACATAATAGAGTGACATTTCCTGACTCACTTGCCATTGGAAGGGGCTATGTGACTAAGTCTGGCCAGTGAGCTGTGAGCCCAATAAGGTCTGTGACTTCTGGATCAGGGCACTGAAGTGTGCATGTGTGACTTCTGGCACAGCAACCATAACATTCAACATGGTGGCTGCTCAGTCAGCCTGGGTCCCGAGCATCCCAGCCAACATAATGGCAGGTACTGTGAGAGGGAAATAACTTGTGGTGTACTAAGGCACTTGAAATTTGGAGGTGTTTTTTTACTGTTCTGTAACTTCATCTACATTGATTGATACGCACATTGTTTTATCCAAGATAATAATAACTAATAGTACTTGGGCATTTGCTATGTGCCAGGTGAGTATTGGTTCACATTTTGCAATACCCTAGAACATACATATTATTATTAATCTCATATTTAGATGGGGAAACTAAGGTTAGAAATGTTAAGTAACTTACCCAAGGTCACCCAGCCAGTAAGGGGAAGGGTGGGGATTTAAACCCAGGTCACGTGACTTCAGAGCTTGAGCTCTTAACCGCTGCTCACCCGACTCCATAGACCAAACCTGTGGTTTCATGGTATGATCAACTAACATTAATTCTGCTTTCCCTTTCTCTTGAACTGCATCCCCTGTAGTTTCATTTGGAAGTGATTTCCTTTGTTGGCCATTACTCTTCAGAGTGGTGGTGAGGTTGGGAAGCCAGCAGAGTGGCCTGCTGTGGGTATTGAATGCTGATGTTGTCATAGGAAGTCTCTCATTTGCTTTGCTTTGCTTGACTACTTTTTGGTTTTTAACCTGTTATTTAAGCCAAAGTATTTGATATGGGAACAGGAAGCCTCTTAAGGGTAAGGAAGGCATTTTGTCTTCTTACCTTTGCTTGAAGGCATCAAGATGATTGTCTTGGGTCAGAGTCAGAGCCTGAGATGGGGATTCTTCTTTAAGTGATTTGTTGAGGGAGTTCTTTTGGGGAAAAGCTACAAGGAAGTGAGGGAGGAAGAGCAGGGCCAGGGAAGCTAAGCAAAGATGTGGTATAGCTGAGGTCTAGCTCAGCCTGATCCACAGAGGAGCTGAGCATGACTTGTGACACAGAGTTTGCTCTGCATTGAGGCAACAGGGCTAAGTTTGTTTGTTTGTTTTTTTGGACAGAGTTTTACTCTTGTTGCCCAGGCTGGAGTGCAATGGCATAATCTTGGCTCACCACAACCTCCACCTACTGGGTTCAAGCGATTCTCCTGCCTCAGCTGCTGGAGTAGCTGGGATTACAGGCATGTGCCACCACGCCCGGCTAATTTTCTATTTTCAGTAGAGACGAGGTTTCTCCATGTTGGTCAGGCTGGTCTTGAACTCCCGACCTCAGGTGGTCCGGCCGAGGCCTCCCAAATTGCTGGGATTACAGGCATGAGCCACCGCACCTGGCCTGGGCTAAGCTTTTATACTCCTGCATCAGGTGGTTATTGGCCTTGGGTGTAACCTCCCAGATGTCTCCAGGTGAAGTGGCTCCCATTAGCTAAAGACAATTCTGCAGAGAAGGATGAGGTGCAGCGTAATTAGCAGCCAACACCTGCAGCAGTTGGGGGATGAGTGCACTTGCCAGGTAAAGGAGACCTGGAAGGGGCACCAAAAACATCCACTATAGTGTTTGAGGTCAGTGGCCCATCTGATACGGCTTAGCTCTGTGTCCCCACCCAAATTTCACCTTGAATTGTAATAATCCCCATGTGTCCATGAGAGGGACCCTGTGGGAGGTAACTGAATCATGGGGGCAGGTTTTTGCCATGCTGTTTTTGTGACAGTGAGTAAGTCTTATGAGATCTAGTCGTTTTATAAAAGAGAGTTCCCCTGCACATGCCCTCTTGCCTGTCAGCATGTAAGACATGCCTTTGCTCTTCCTTTGCCTTCTGCCATGATAGTGAGGCCTCCCCAGCCATGTGGAACTGTGAATCCATTAAACCTTTTTCCTTTATAAATTACCCAGTCTTGGGTACGTCTTTATTAGCAGCATGAGAACAGGCTAATACACCATCCTTTTTGGATTTGTGATTTTTTTTTTTCTGGGGGTGATATTGTCAAGTTGAGAGGAGGTAGCGAAGTGTGTAAGGTGTAAGTGTAGTGGTGGCATGTGGCCTTGTCAGGGCCTCAGCACATGCCTTTTATTGACACTGAAGTGTTGTGTGTAGGACTGTGTAAGGGCAGGGTGGTTGTTGTGCACACTGTCCTGATCTTTGGACCTAGAACTGATACATTGTGTCTAGTCACCAGGGGAGTTGTCCCTTTCTATCTTTTTAGACGGGCAAGTTGGCTGCCAAAAATGTTTAGGCAATTCTGGTGGTGTTTTCCTTTCTCATGAAATAGGCGGCTTCAACCTCATAGAATAAGAATCAGCCACTCTGCCTAACAATATTAATACTAACACCAATGCCCTTTATTAAGTGCCAGGGGATTTACTTGTATTACCAGATCTATTCCTCTCCATGACCCTGCAAGATGGGAATCATAGGATCCATTTGATGGTCCAGAATAATAAATATTAGGAAGAGTCAGCATTTTGTCCAAGGGCACACCATTAAAACAGTTTGCGTCAAAGTAGCAAAGAAAATAAATCACAGCATCAAAGAACAGGAGATTAAGAGAAACTGAGGAAAAACCACACGATCTCGGAGGGGTAGAGAATACTATATTTATAATGAAGAAGTCTGACTCTTTGGATTAATATAAAAATCTTGCCATGTAGCATGTGGGAGAGGAGAGCAAGGGAGGCTCACATGCTGGAGACAGGATTTGGTTCCAATGCTATCTGACTCTAAGGCTGATACATCTTTCTGTGCCATGGTGTTTTAATAAGCATGTAATTTAGAAATGTCCACCCACTTACTTCGGAACCATAGATTTCATTAAAGGAGAGTAAAAACCCAGGCTTTGGATACAGACAGACTTGAGAAACAGCTCTAAGATTTGGGCAAGGCTGGTCTTGAACTCCTGACCTCTCTATTCATCCTCTCTATGCCTCAGTTTCCTATTTGTTAAATGGGGATGATATTTAGCTTGCATGACTGTCATATGGATGAGATGACAGCATGTATACAAAATGCCTATCATGTAAAAAGCACTTAGTCTTTACCAGTTATTTTAATATATTCATGAAGAAGTTTCAGTTTTGTCGAGGAGAAAAGAGGCTGTGTCAGTTCTTTATTCTCTCATAACAAACTGTCACAACATTTGGCAGCTTAAACAATAACAATTTGTTATTTCCCATGAGTTGAGGGGTTGACTGGGTAAGCCGTCCAGTTAGTTATATTTCATGTAATGTTAGCTTAGTCATTTATGTGGTTGCATTCAGCTGTGAACTTAGCTGGGCCTGGGATGTACAGGAAGGCTCCTTCACAAGACCTTCACAACTCCTCTCCTTGCTCAATTGTCTAACCCAGATTCTTACATGGTGACTAGATTTCAAGTTCTCCAAAGTGGAAGCATCCCTGCTGCTATGGACTGAATGTTTGTGTCCCCTTGAAATTGCTATGTCGAAGCCCTTATCCCCAGGGTGATGGTGTTTGGAGGTAGGACATCTGGGGGTCATTAGAGTTTGATGAAGTCATGACATTGGAGCACTTATGATGAAATTAATGCTTATGAAACGAGGAAGAGATGAGATCTCTGCATGCATGCACCAAGGAAGGCCATGGGAGGACAAATCCAGAAACACAGCTCTCACCAAGAACCCAACTATGCCGGCACACTGATCTCAGACTTCCAACCTGTAGAAACATGAGATATAAATGTTCATGGTCTAATCTCCATCTGCTGTACTCTGTTATAGCAGCCTGAACTAAGACACTTGTCTTCTTAAGGTTTAGCCTGGAATTGGTGCACCGTCAATTCTATAAGTAAAGCAAGTCACATGGACAATGCGGATTCAAGGGGAGGGAAATTAAACTCAGAGTATTGTTGGCAGAATGGCATGCATGTACTTGAAGGGGAGGAGTGATTGGCAGCCATATTTGAAGACTATCTCTCTTGGATACATTCATCCTAGATCATTCATAAACAAGGTGATTTTATGAGAAGTTTAATTCTTACTGTTCTGCATTTGCAGTGCAGACATTTACCATGATGACTTATTCCCTGTAGAGTGGGTTAATGTTTTCAGACATGGCTTCAGAGGACCTGGGGCTTCAGTTGAGCCCTGAATAAAGGATAGGAAATTGCTATGGAAGGAAAAGAAAAGGGTCTGTTGTATGCTTTGTTTTTTTCACTCACATGAACCAGGACAAACTCAGTGTGCCTTGGGTAAGGAGGGTGGCGACACTGATTTTAACTGTCAAATTGATCTAGAGTTGTCAGATGGGATAATTTAACCCTCAAATGAAGGTGATTTATCCTATGTATTGTAATCAAATAGTCATCTAAGTCACTCCCCATGAGCTCTGGTAAATCACTTTTAGTACATATTGAAAGTGACCGTATTGTATTTTATTGCAGAATTGCGTCTTATAGTAATAACTAATGCATGCCATTGGCTTTTGCTCTAGCACCGAATTACACTCACTTGGAGGCACATGGATCCAGGTGGGCACTGTTGCTTCCATTTGCTTGTCCACAGTCAGAACTGAGAGGCAGGTAGGAAAACTGTACTGCTGCAGTCTTTGTAGATTAGCTCAATTCAGAGACACCTGTGGTCTTGTGAAATGCCAAACTTTACTCCAGTGGCATTTGGGTCAATGTGAACTAGGATGGGCCTAGCAATTCTATTAGGTGAATGACAAGTGCTTTGTAATGAAACAGAAGGACTTTATTTAAACAGATATAAGGACTGGACAGAAATCAGGCTTAAATTATACCTTATCTGGGCTCCTGCTGTAACCTTGTAACTGGTCTTACCACTTGTGGTCTCAAGACTATTTTGTCCTGCAGCCCCCAGAGCAATCTCCCTGAAATGCAAGGTCAACTATGCTGGCCCCCGGCTTAAAGCCATCATGGCTTCCCAATGCCTGTGGGATGTTGTCCACACTCTTAGCTTAGCTTACAAGGCTCTCCATAGTCTGGCTCCTGCCCACCTGTCCAGCTTCATCTTGCGCCACTGCCCATTTTGAACTTTCCATGCTACCTACATACCGTGATTCACTTCTCCACACTGTTGTTCATGTCCTTCTGTCTGCCTGAGATGTGCTCTCCCAGCTTCCTGACTCTGACCTCCTTTGCCTGGCCAACTCCTTCTGGTGCTGGAAGATGCACCACAAACATGCCCCCATGGGAGCATGCGCAGATGCTCTCAGGCTGTGCTCATAATTTCCTGAGTCTCTCCCCTCATCATTTCACTTCTCACATAGCATTATTATGACTTATTTAGGCCTGTAGCTCTACTACTAGATGGACTGTGAGCTCCTTGAAGGCAGGAACCCATCTTAATAATATGGGTATCCCAAGAAACCAGCACAATAACTGGTTGGCCCAGAGGAGATGCTCAATAAATGTTTGTGGTATTAGTAAATTTATGAAAATACCTCTTTGGGTTGTCACAGAAGCACATGAGCAGTGGAGACAAGATTCTCATCTTGAATCTGAGTCTCCTTTGATCTGAGGAGCTTCCTGTTTTGAGGTTACACATTTATTTTAGAGACAGAGTCTCACTCTTGTCCCCCAGGCTGGAGTGCAATGGCACGATCTGGTCTCACTGCAACCTGCACCTCCTGGGTTCAAGCGATTCTCCTCTCTTAGCCTCCTGAGTAGCTGGAATTACAGGTGCATGCCACCACGCCCAGCTAATTTTTGTATTTTTAGTAGAGACAGTGTTTTGCCACATTGGCCAGGCTGGTCTCAAACTCCTGACCTCAGATGATCCACCCATCTCAGCCTCCCAAAGTGCTGGGATTACAGGCATGAGCCCCCAAGCCTGGCCTGAGGTTGCATATTTAGGTTGGAATTAGTGTGCATGTTCTCCATGAAGGTGAAATTTGTATGGCTCTGGGACCTAAAAGCCTAGGCAAGGGCATAGAGATATATTAGCCTGGGGTGGACTGGGGAATGTTTTACTAGTTAGCATTACGTGAGAAATTAAGCAAGTCTTACACACATGGATTTGAGACCCAGAATCTGCTCCATTTCTGGGGCTTTTGTGTGTTAGAAATAAGTACAGCTGATTATTTCATTTATGTTGGTGGATTTGGGGCTGCCAAGCTTCTCTGAAGGGCCCACATTTTCCTTTGGTACTCTATTTCTCATTTTGCCCTTAGAAATAAGGAATCTTGGAGTAAATTCCAGAGGTGGTAGGAGAAGGGAGAATGCATTCCCACATTGGTAGCTAAGGTTCATAAGCTCCTAGAAAAGAAGGGAAAGATCTCTGAGCCTAGAACATGGGACTCCCCTTTCTTACTGTAATTTGCAGACAGATTGGGGCAAGAAACTCCATGCAGCTTGGAAACATGTCAGAGTGTGCCTTACAAGGAAACAAGGCAAATACAGGAGGAAAAAGGTAGGCTGCTGTTTGGTCTTTAGAAACAAGCATTTTCTTACATCCTTTTATTCCCGGTATATGTCCTATGAAAGTCATTCTGGTAGCAATGGTAATAGTACTATTAATAATAATGATGTACATATATTGGATGTGTTCAACATGCCAGGCACCATGCCAAGCTTTTTACCTGGCTTACTTCATTTCAATTTATAACTTTATGAGGCAGATACATTTTCATTTCTATGTTACAGATGAGGCACAGAGAGGCATAGAAACTTGCCCAAGCTTGGAGGAGCTGGGATTTCAACTTAATCTAACACAGCACTGTATGTTCTCAAGTTGTCACTATATTACCTCCCAAACAACATTTACACTAACAAGTGCAGCCAATGTTTATTGAGTGCTAACTCTGTGCTGGGCACATTGCCAACCTTTACATGAAGAGCCTCAGTTACCCCTCAGCACCATCTTTGGGGTGGGTTATTATTATCCTTATTTCAAAGATCAAACAACTGAGACTTAGAGATTCAGTAACATGTCCAAGGTCACACAGCTAGTTCATGGTGGGACCTGAGTTCATTCTTAGGCTGCTTGTCTCCTAAGCCTCTAGTCCAACTTTTTAATTTTTTTATTTTATTTTATTTTTTGATAGGGTCTCACTCTGTCACCCAGGCTGGAGTACAGTGGTGTGATCTTGGCTCACTACAACTCTGCCTCTCAGGCCCAAGCGATTCTCCTGCCTCAGCCTCCTGAGTAGCTGGGATTACAGGTGCTTGCCTCTACCACCTGGCTAATTTTTGTATTTTTAGTAGAGATGGGGTTTCACCATGTTGGCCAGGCTTCTCGGCCTCCCTGAGTTCTGGGATTACAGGCATGAGCCACCATGCCTGGCCATAGTCCAACTTTTAAATTTTGGTTTAGGAAGTGTTTTTTATCCCATCCATCCAGATCTCCCTCTCATAGTCAGTTTTCACCTCTTCCCTGGGGATACGGCTCAAGGAGAACTTTCATCATCTTCAAATGCAAAGACCACGTGGCAATTAGAGTGTGGGGGATTCCAAGCCCCTTCTGGTGATTGTGGACTTGAAAAACAGTAGTGGTAATGAATAATTAAAGGTTAAACAAAGGGAATAGTTCTAGAGACTGGGTGAAGGGGAGCCTGTTTTATTCCACTGAGTTTGAAGCCAGAACACCATGTCTTGGCACTGACATGCCTTGGAGACTTCGTATTGATGATCATGGCTAACTGACTCTTTCTCAGCTCTCAGTATCATTCATAGTCAGGACTTTACATGTGTGTGTGTAATGTATATATATCTGTGTGCACGTGTGTGCGCGCGCGCGCGCACGCACACACACACACACACACACACACGTAAAGTCCTGACTACCAGTGATAATAATACATAGTTTTTTGGGGGAAGAAGGGATGCCTCTTGTATGCACAGCACTCAACTTCTGCTTTTGGGCAGGGAAGATGGAAAAAAAAGGTAAAATGGGGTTATTTGTCCCAAGTTGACTTGACAGTCTAAGCAGGGGGATAAGGCAGATGAATATGTGAACAATGTTTTGGTAGATTAGCTTGGTTAGAGGATTTTCAAACTTTTTGAAATTATAAAACCTACAAATATATATTTTTTAAATCACAAAACAAAACCTTAATGAATCAGTAAAATTCTCATAATCTTTATACAGGAAAGGTAGTAGAGAAAAGTTTATATCAGTTTGCAACTACAGATTTATGCCCTTACATATGAGTGGTAGATATGTGAAATATGATTATTAGTAATAAAGTGAAGAGGATGTTATAGAGAGGGATGCAATAAAATTTATCTTTTTCATCATGTTCCTCATCTGGGTTACCATGAAACTAATGTGAACAGTTTCCAGCTCCAGGCAAAACATTTACACTCCTCACCTTTCAGTGCTATCATTTGTTGCATTTGGGAACAAATGTGCAGCTTCAGGGTGAGAATGGAAGAATATATAGGCAAAAGAAGAGCTATGAAATATATTAATAACGAATATTCTCACCTGAAAACTATGAATTTCAAGATCACACTTAAGGTCCACTTCAATTTAAAAAATGTCCTGAGGATCTGAATAATGACAATTGGAAAATTAAAAGAGCATTGATAGCTTAAGTGCCAATGAACTCAAGGCCAAGATCTCAGTTTTCATGCAAACTGGTGGCTCTGACTTCGTTCCACTGCTATAGCCTTGGCTGAGGATCTTACAAGTGGGTTTTTGAAATGGATTCGGGTGGAGGCTCAGGGAGTGCACCTGTTACCTCCATGGGGCAAAGGCTCAATGTAGGGAACTTATGAGAGTTGGAGAGCATGATGTGTGCTGTGTAGACAGCACAGCATGGGGACCCAGCACTGCCCTCATCGACATTTCTCTTAGAAAATGTGATTACAAGGCAGGCAGATCACAAGGTCAAGGGATCAAGACCATCCTGGCCAACATGGTGAAACCCTGTCTCTACTAAAAATACAAAAATTAGCTGGGTGTGGTGGCATGTGCCTGTAGTCCCAGCTACTCAGTAGGCTGAGGCAGGAGAATCTCTTGAACCCGGGAGGCGGAGCTTGCAGTGAGCCGAGATTGTGCCATTGCACTCTAGCCTGGTGACAGACTGAGACTCCATCTCAAAAAAAAAAAAAAGAAAAAAAAGAAAAGAAAACGTGATTACATTGTAGGAGCTGGAGGATTGTTACTAAATCATTCAAAACAGCAAAAGTTAAAAATAAAATAGCGACCAGTTAAAAATATTCCACTGGTCTAACAAGGAGGATATAAATAAATTATGATGCCTTATAGATATAATATTAGGAATATTTTTCAGCCATTAAAAACTACGTTTTAGGAGAGTATTTAATAATGGGGATATTATAGATAAATACAGATAGATTTAGGTATAAAATGGAGACTATTTCTTTCTTTAAAGTACTTTCTTGATTTTTTTAAGTCAGTATATCCATCTCTCTTTCCCTAGCAAATATTCTCCAGAGAAACAGACAAACATTTTTCATTGGCCATCTCTGGATATAAGGTAATTTTAGTTTTCTTTCTTTCTTTCATTTTATTTTTTAAAAAAGAGATGGAGTCTCACTATATTGCTCAGGCTGGCATCAAACTTGTGAGCTCATGCGATCTGCCCTCTCAGCCTACCAATGTGCTAGGATTACAGGCACGAGCCACCACGCCTGGCCTGATTTTAATTTTCCTATTTACATCTTTCTGATTAACTTTTTCCCTTATAATCACATATTGTCTTTGCAACCATAAAAAAAAAGCAACAAGCGCCAGCTATTTCTCTAGTGGCATGTTAATCTTATGCAGTATTGGAATGGGAGCAGGCAGAGGGCTTGGTCCTAGATGCTCCGTTTATTAGTTGGCTCATGGAGGATAAGCCTGAGCTTCTGAGAGTCTGGGGTAAACAAGTGGCCATGCCTTCCTCACAGGTCCCTGGAGGATCGGAGAAGTGATGTGTGCTGTGCAAAGGTGAAGGTTTCTAGCCAAGGCCACTGCTGGACTTGCACTTCTGCCTTTCTCCTGGGGGTCACTTTTTCACTCTTCAGGGCTTGGCTCAAATGGTACTTCCCCAGGTAACCTTCCCTGGCCCCCACATACGATCAGGTTTCCTCTTTGAATGCCCTTGTAACACTTCAGAACTCTTATCATTGTTGCAATTTTGCATTCATTCTTGAGGTTATTGGATGAATGTGTGGCTCCTCCTCTGAATGGTCTGTTTCGTCACTTTTGAACATCCCTCCATTACTGGCAGATAGTAGTCTCTCACAAATGTTTGGTAAACGAATGAACTCTTCAATGCAAAGGTTTAGAATCAGCTGGTGGGGAGACAGATCTAGTATTTTGAGGTGGTTGGAGGGATCATGGTGTTAACCAAGAGAAAGCTCTTAGCAGAGTCACTGTATAATTTTTTTCTTTGGGAAAGAGTGTGTGCTTCAACATACCAGAGAGCTAAGGCTTTGCACTGTAATATGGGTTAATCAATCAAGAAATCAATCAACACCTACTTATCCAGTGCAGACCATGTGCCCAGCACAATGCTAGAGGCACTAAGACTTTTGGGAAGTGGCTTTGCCTCTTTCTTTCAGTTCACAAAATGAAGTGGTTAAGACTTGCAGAAATCAGAAGTGGAAGAATGCAAACTGATCAGTGATTGCAATGACTGGAAAAGGGCTATGAAACGCCAGTGCATTTGAGACCAAGCATTATGGTGATGGAGTCTCACATCCTGAAACCCAGGGCTAATCCTCCCCAAGAGAGACGTGGATAGGAAAATTCCCCTGATAATTATTGCAAAAGTGTCATCTTAAAAACAAACAAATATCACAAGATGCCTCCCCAAACTTGAAAGCATGAAACAAAAAAGCAAACTATTCCTAATCAGGCTAATTGTAGAGTTAGTGGCTCTAAATTGTGTTGGTTTTGCCAGTTCTGCCTTTTGGAGGTGGGGACAGGGGAGATTTGGTTTAACTTAATTAGCATTTCCAACTGGAAATGTGACAATATAACTACCCTAAACTGTTGCTCAGTAAAAATGCAGAAGGAGAATTCCTCCTCAGTCACATTTATACAGAAACCAAGGACAGGAAGAGAAAGAAGACATAGGCTATTAGGGGAAGGAATATGTGGGCTACAGATACATTCAGACGCCAAAACTTGCTGCTCATTTTCAACCTCTCACCTAATTTTTTTTCTCCTCCTGGAATCTATGACTATAAATTCACTTCTAAGGGGAAAAAATCAGCCCATGCTCACAGCCTGCTAGGAGCGCTTATACCTCCCCTCCTCCAACCTTCCACTGCCCGGTACATTATTTTGGAAATTTGAGCAGAGTTGTCTTTGGAATGACGGCGCCTCATCAATACAGAATTTGTGATAATCTGGTCCTTGGGTGGGCTTGAGTTTATCCACATAATGGAGGTGGAGTGGGGAGACAGAAGTATGTTAATTAAGACTAAAGGCCCACAAACTCTTTTCAAGTAAAGTAGCCTTAGCTACAGCTGATTCTTTTCTCTTAGTAAAAACATTGATAAGTTTACCAAGACCCCTTGCATGTTCCCTGTCTCCACATGTGCTAGAAAGTATTACGTTGGTGCAAAAGTAATTGTACCAATAATGCATCTGCATTTATTAAGTGTCCTTTAATGCCCACTTCACTGTAGCAGTCCAGTTAGGGACTATTAGCAAGGGTTTATAGTATTATTATGAAAGAATCTGGATACTAGCAGTGAGAGGAAGACTTTCCGCTTAAGGAAATATTGTTCCCGTAGGGGCACAAATATATGAACAAGCGTCTGCAAAAACTCCAGGCTAGGGTCAGAGCATCTTAAGTGAATTCCAGGAAAGTGGTTTATAGTCTAGATGAAAGAGAGAAATGCATTTAGCGGGGGTTCTTGACCAAACTCAAGGCTCCCTCTTTGGATCAGAGTATGGGGCCTACCTTGGCGGGTGCAGGGGTTCCTAGGCAGGTGGGAGGTCTCTATTTGTGTTGAGGTTGCAGCTCTCTTCTCCTTCTACATTTTATCTCCTACGTTTTTGCTACCATCTGGTTGTTTTCTTACCACATTGTTCTTGCCTCTGGCCTGCAGTGGGCACCCTTAAGAAAAGTCCATTTAGATGTCTTCTTTCCTTGCTAGTCTTCATGTTTGTCAGTTCTGAATTTGCATCCAATGCCTGTCCTCAGTCCCTGGGCCTTCCCCTTGATGTCTTCAATGTGAAAGCTATTCAGCCATGGGGACTGTGCTCCTCCCTTCACCCTCCTGTCCTCCAAGGAAAATCAGGAAGTATCTGGACAGACTGTTGGAACAAAGCAAAATATTTAAGTTCCTGTCATCGTCCCACTGTGGCTTTTGATCATTTCTTTCAGTAGCCAGTTTAGTTTAATTATTTATAGAAAGACATTCATAGTGCTAGAGGAAATGTCCTATAAAGCATTTATCAAAGAATGAGTCTTTGTAATCTGAGACATCCCCAGAGCAAAAGCAAAGTATCTGGGCTGATGATTCAGGTATTACCTTTGGAGGGAAGCAGGATGAGATTTCTAGAGTTGCTGGAGTTTGAATCTCTGGGTTGACTCAGTAGATAAGCCTAAAATCTGTAGGAGGTACAATGCCTGTGCACGGTCCCAGTCCTTCCAACAACAAAATGAGGGGGTCATTCCCATATCATCATTATACATGGAGAAACTGAGGCACAGAGAAATAAAGTACATTGCCCAAAGTTTCTAAAATACATAGTGAAGTGGAATCTAGATTTAGAGAGAGGCAGTCTGGTGTAATTGCTGTGTTCTTAATACTCTGGACTCCTGTTGTGGACATGCTGGTCCCTTGGTTGTTCAGTGTCTGAGGACAGTGGCTTGTCTGATTTTCTCAGCTTCCTCGAGATGGATCTACAAATTGGACTGAACTACAGCCTCAGAAGTTTATAAGGAGTTTCATCTTGATAATTTGGTGGGACTGGAAGATGTCTTTGACCAATAGACCAGTATCCAATGTACTCAAGATGGATCAGCCTGCTTCTGCCACTTCCTCGATCTTTAACTTACCCAAGCTATTTAATTTTTGAAAGTCTCTGTTTTCTCACTTGTAGTTTCACAGTGGTCTCTCATTCTGTGTTGTGAGGATAAAAGAGAAGAGGGAGCATGTGGAAGGCACTTGGTACATAGTTAAGTGTTTCAGAAATGTTTCTAGATTTTAGCTGAGGTCCTGTGGCATCTTAGAGTATTGTCCAGGAATCTTGGTGGCAGTATTTCCCAAATTTTAGCATGTACAGGAATGATCTGTGGGGGAAGTGTCAAATCTGCATATTCCCAAGCCCCACCCAAGTGATTCAGATTGGACCAGGTGGTGCTACAGTGGATGCAGCCATCCAGATGGCACCACTGAGAAAGCTGGCTCACAGGCCAGCAGGGGCCCCTCCCACCCCTTGACTAAACCCTCTGCATTCCTTCAGACTCTTCTTACCCTGAATGGAGAGTGCTAGAAACGTTCTTAGTAGCTTTCTAAAGGCTTTATAAGGCCAACGAGTAATAATTTGGTGATTTCAGAAGCAGCCCTCAGAATAATATATTTTCTACCCCTTCCCCCACCCACTCTTGGCTCCTGGCCCTACCTCCTTCACCCCTCTTCGATTTGTACCACAGTTCGTGGCATTTTCTGAACCTCAGGGCTCCTGTCTGGCTAGTTATTTATTTAGCTGAGGAACTGCAGCACCTAATTAATAGGAAATTAGCTGTGAGTGTAACATTTGGCCCGTAGTCAAGGCCCAAGAAGTTATAAATACGCACCACGTGAGTGGCCTGGGCACCTGATTCTTGGAAGATCCAGAAGTGGCACTTCCTGTGCAGTTCCAGGAAGTGAAGTATGTGCTGCATAGGTTGTGGGTAGCCAGGAGCAGGCATCACCTGCCCTGAGGCCAGCAGGACCATCCTGGGGAGCACAGGGGCCTGTCTGCTTCTCCCCATTTCCCAGAGAGCTCATTGACTCTTCTCAACTTAGCTGTCTTTTCAAAGGCCAGGTGGGAGAGGACACATCAAGGAAATGAGAGCAGAGGCTGGAGGGGACTTAGGAGAGGGTATAGGGTCCCTTACAGGGTGGCCCAAGCACCGTGATCCTCCAAAGACACTAGGTCTGCTGTTGTTTCAGACACTTGCATTGGCTTCTTCCAGGGGCACGTGAGGTACAGCTTCATCTAACACCTTGACAGTAGGGACTCTGCATTGAAGGGGATCTCACTGCCATTCACAGGTTGCAGAGGAAGGGGAAAAATCTTTTCCTTCTACTCTTCTAGGTTCCTGGCTGGGGCCCCTATAACAAAAGATGGATTAAGAAGAGAATAGCACACAAAATTATTTACTATGTTTTATGTAACAGGGGAGCCTTCATAAGGTAACCAAGATTTGAAGAACAGTTAACCCTGGGTGTTTTTTATGGCAGTCTTGATGAAGAGTGAAAAGGCATGGAGAAACTTGATAGGGCAAACAGTGTGAGGTAAGCATAGTGAACTCCAGGAAATGTAGCTGGGCCTGTCTGGATTCCTCCCTGGGTCCCTAGTCTTGGCAGATAAGTATGCTCCCTTCCTCTGGGCACCTCTCATGTGACCTGCTTCAGGGGAAGGTCAGAAAATTCTTCCTGGGTTTTCTCAAATTTTTTTAGATTAAAATATTCAACATGCCAAAGTGCTGTATTTTGGGGTAGTGTGTTCTGAACCCCATCACAGACCATGGGAACTGAGCCTAGAGGAGGTTAGAGATCCTGCCCAAACCAGAGAGAGGCAGAGTTCAGATTTGGAATAAACATGTTCAGCCCTCAAGTTTGATGCTGTTTGCAGAATCTCATAGTTTCCTGATTACTTCAAAAGGAAAATCAGGCTGGGAGGAGAAAAATGTTTTTAAAAGCCCCAAGGAGGAAAAGACTGAGGGGGAAGGAGGAGCAAAAGGGTCAAGGGGAAGGTAAGGGCAAGTCTAGGAGTTCCTTAGGAGGCAGCGGTGCCCCCACGGAAGGAGGAGGCGGTGTCTGTGGGTCAGAGGCAAAGCTATTTTCTCTAGATTTGCTTGATTTCAGTTATCTCACTTTCTTTTTTCTCAACTTCCCCTGCAGGGAAATAGGAACTGGGCAACCTGTCTATTCCCTTGTGCGAGTTAAAAATCTGCTGATAAAAGTACCTATTCCAATTCTAAGTGTGTTTGTTATGAGCCAAACCCTGGAGGGTGGGAGGAGGGAGGTGCCTGGTTCCATGGCAGAGCAGGGCCAGGAGGTAAAGCTGGTTGGAGGACATCAGGGAACAGAAAGCACAGAGTAAGTGAAATATTTTGCCAGCTTTATTTAAAAGATCGATCGAAGCCTCTTTAACACAGGCTTCTACCTGAGAACTGGTATAATGAATCTGGCATTTATGTGACTCTGGAAGGAGCCTTCCGAAGGAGGAGAAAAATGTAAAAGAAATTGCATCTTTGGGTGGGTCCCAGAAGGGGTTGATATGAAGAAAGAAAATAACTCATTGCTGATGTCACAGAGCAGAAGATGGACATGGAGGCTGCATATCACTTAGACTAAGTGGGACAGAGTCTCCCTTGGAAAGAAAAAATGCCTCTAGTCTCACTCAGGGAAGCAAGTTATCAATCAGAGCCCAGGCTAAGAACACAGATATCACTGATGCCCTGAAAGAAAGATAATACATCTTCCTTTTCCCACCTCTACCCATTAGCCAGAGGCATTTCCTGACCTTCCACTGAAGAAGAAAGGGGTCCCTCCTGATTTCTTGTCCTTTGGGGGATGTTACCAATTCTTTACTATCCCAGGCAGTGCTTAGGCACCAAATGACTTTGGAGTCAGAAAGAGCTGAGTTCAAACATCACATTCCTGCCTGTGAGTTTGGACATGTTTGATTATCTCTTGATGACCTCAGTTTTCTGATTTGTTTAAAAATATAAGATAATATCTACTTTACAGGGTTTTTAAAAGGACTAAATGAGGTAAAAGTCAAAACCACAAACATAGCACCTGCCATGTAGTTGAGACTTAAGAATAATAAGTATTGCTGTTATTGTTATGCAAATAAAAGAATCAAGAATAATACTTGGTAGCCACTCAATAATCAGTTTCTGTTCCCTTGTTAAAGGTCACATCAGTAATAGTGATGCTAGACATTTTGTCTCCCTCCACAACTCTCCCCTAATTCAACCCTAAGCCAAAACTTAGGCCAACATCAACCCTATTCCCAACAATATGCCCAGCTGTATTCCCCAATCCTAACCCCAACCTAGACTAAACTATAACCCCAACTCTATCTCAATTTCCAACTCTATCCCAACTATATTATTCAGGGTTCTTCGGAGAAACAGAACCAATAGGATGTGTATGTATAATATGCCTCTCTCCTATTGAGAGAGAGTGAAAGAGGGAGAGGGGAGAGAGACAGTGAGAGAGGACAGAAGAGAGATTTTTATTAAAAGAAATTGGCTCACGTGATTATGGAGGCTGAAAAGTCCCAAGCTCTACAGGGTGAGTTGGCAAGCTGGAGACCCAGGAAAGCTGATGTTGTAGTTCTAGTCTAAAGACTGGCAGGTCTGAGATTGAGGAAGAGCCAGTGTTTCAGTTCAAAGGCCATTAGACAGGACAGATTCTGTCTTACTGCGGGAGGTCAGCCTTTGTGTTCTATTCTGCTCTTCACCCAATTGCATGAAGCCTATGCACAGTCAATCTGTTTTATTCAACCTACAAATTTAACTGTTAATCTCACCCAAAAAAACGCCCTAACAGAAACAACTAGAATAATGTTTGTTCAAGTATCTGGGTACCTGATAGCCCAATCAACTTTGCACCTAAAATTAATCATTTTAATCATCACACCAATCTTATCCTTAACCCTATTCCCAGTGATATTACAACCCTAACCCTAAGTCTAACCCCAACCTCAGACCAATAATTACTATTATTATTATTATTTTTTGAGACAGAGTCTTGCTCTGTCACCCAGGCTAGAGTACAGTGGCATAATCTTGGCTCACTGCAACCCTCCACCTCTTGGGTTCAAGCAATTCTCGTGCCTCTGCCTCCTGAGTAGCTGGAATTAAAAGTGTGTGCAAACATATATATATATATTTTTTGTATATTTAGTAGAGATGGGGTTTTGCTATGTTGGTCAGGCTGGTCTTGAACTCCTGACCTCAAGCAATCCACCCGCCTCGGCCTCCCAAAGTGCTGGGATTACAGGCATGAGCCACCACGCCCAGTCAGTAATTACTATTAAATATGCAACATGTGCTAGATATTGTTAGTTCCTCAGCTTTCTTCTTTTTAGTGTGGATACAAATCCTACTCTAGTTGCCAAAACTTATTAATCAATGTGATGAATCCGCATCATAAAGTCAACTTAATAATATATCTCCAGAGTATGGACTTGAAAGGGAGCTGTGCTTGGAATAGATTTTACTCAGATAGTCACACAAGATGATCAGCACCTGCTTTGGCATGAGGAGCCACTCAGGCACACAGAGGGAGTTCTATTTGTTGTGCCAGCTCCTGCTCCATTCTCCTGACCAAGCCCTGCTTTAATAGGGTCTGTGTGGAGTTAAGATGGCCAGTGATGGAGGCCTGGGCACAACACCCCAGAGATGTCTTAACTCAGAGAAGATAGATTTGTAGACCATTAGGAGCTGAAAATATGTGTTAGTATTATTACTCATATAGATCACTTAGTTTTCTGTCAGATTTTTGTCTCAGACTTATCCCCTATGATGAAAAGGAAACTTCTTGATTTCTACAAAGATTCCTACTGAATCAATGAGCATTAGAATTGAAAGGGATGGGCTGAGCATGGTGGGTCATGCCTGTAATCCCAGCACTTTGGGAGGCCAAGGCAGGAAGATTGCTTGAGGCCAGATGTTTGAGAGCAGCGTAGGCAACATAGCAAGACCCCACCTCTAAAACAAATGTTTAAAAAAATTAGCTGGGTATGGTGTTGCACGTCTACAGTCCCAGCCACTCGGGAGGCTAAGGTGGGAAGACCACATGAGCCCAGGAGGTCAAGGCTGCAGTGAGCAGTGATCACACCACTGCACTCTAGCCTGGGTGACAGAGCAACACCCTGTCTCAATTTTTGAAAAATGAAAAAGAATAATTATTTTATCCCATTGTTCTCAACTTTAAAATCACTGATGCTTGAGTCTTGTCTTGGAGCAATCCATCCATCTGTGGGGTGAACCCTGGGAATTAGTATTTTTAGAGGCACTCTTCTAGCGTTACTATGGCTAAATGTTTCCACCAGTCTGGCTAAAACTTCTCATTTCATGGATGGAAAAAGTGAGACTCAAAGAGGCTAAGTGACTTTCATAAAAGCAGACTTGCAGGGACAAAGCCAGCACCTAAGGTTTTATAAATACTAGTCCAGTGCTCTTGTTCAGACACCACATTCCTTCTCATCTTGTTTCCTCAGATTTATAGCCAAAAACAATGGGACCATCAGGGACCCACCTTAGGACCCTCATAGCGAGTGGTCCTCCAGCTCAGCCCATGTGCATCCAGCTGAAAGGCTTTCATACCTCTGCCCTGCATAGGTCTTGTTCAGAGAAGTGGGTGCACTGTGGCAGAAACAATTCTCTACTAACCCATTTGGAACAATAAAGAAATAAATCCTAATCCACCAACCTTGACCAGACAGCTGAAGGTTGTGCTCACTTGGTACTGACCTTGTAAAGATGGATTGCAATTTTGGGGAGTCGATTTTATTTTGTTTTTATGTTTATTTTTCCTTCTGGGTACCTAGAGTTCATATTCATCCTAGAGAGTTCTGGGAATTGCAGGTCCAATGCTATTAGCATCTGCTTCATTCCTCTGCCTTTCTGCCCAACTCCCTTGTTTTCTAATTCTTAAAAAATTTTTCTATTTTTTAAGACAATTTATACTGAATGAATTGTTATTTTAAAATAGGTGAGTGAAATCCACCTTAAGTACTGATTTGATGTATTTAGAAAATATGGAGGCCTCTGAAGCAGACCAGCAAGGCAGCCTGTGTATTTCCCCTAGGTGTGGTTCCCTCTTTATTACCAGAGGGTACATAGGAGATTCTGCATTCATTTAGTCATTCATTCAAATAATGTTTATGGATTTAATTTTCTTTAGGTCCAGGGAACTTGATAGGCACTAAGGGAAACTAAGGTGAATTACTGTCATCGCTTGACCTCAAGAAGCTTAAATCTAATGGGAAGGGAAGAAGAGTATCCTCGAACACCCGTACTGTATGCAATGTGATGTTCCCTAAGGGTATGGCAATAGGAGTATAGGAATGAGTGGGATTATTTCTAGCTGAGGATCAGGGAAGGTTCTGTTGATGATTTGACATTTTAGCTCAGTTTTGGAAAATTGATGTGATTTTGACAGAAATAAGTATAAATCTTTTGTGTAGGCAAAGGAACAGCTGGAGCAAAGAAAGACAAAGGGGAGGGAAAGTATGTGCTTGTGTGTTGGGGAGTATATCTTTGGTCTTCATATGATAGGTAGGAGGGAGCATCTGAAAAAAAAATTATGTGTAGACCTCACGGATGCTTATGGGTTGAAACTGGCTTTAGTGACTGGTCTACTTCCTCAGTTTTACAGATTATAAAGTAATAATAATAATAGCAATATTTGAACTTAACTCTCATTGCATGCTTTCTATAGGCAGTTACTGAACTACAGCCATTACATGAATTTTCTCATTATTTTCTTACAACATTCCTTGGAGGTAAGTATTATTATTATCCCCACTTTGCAGATGAGGAATCTAAGGCTCATAGGTCAGTAAGCCAGTAAAAGGCAGAGTTGGGATTTGAACCCAAGGCTACACTCTTTCCGTGGCCAGGATTTTAACCGGGGTATTCAGTACTGGTGCCATTATGGGGGAGGAAAAGATGATGGATTCATTTTGGACATGTTGAGTTAGAGGGGCCCATGAGACCTCCAGGAGAAGAGGTGAGTCTGAAGCTTGAAGATGGAATAATTTGAAATAAAATGAATTTGTTTCTGAAAGTTGTATCCTAACGTTGGCATATTCAGAACACCAGTCACATTGACTTGCCCTGCAGAATTTCCAGATGGGAATTCTAGCAGCTCACATGCCAAGGCTGCTCCTTAGTGTGTGTATGGCTTGCCAGACCCATCTTCCAAAGCTGCACTCAGGTTTTTTTTTTTTTTGACATGTCTCAGCTCCTTTCTCCACCATGTGTGCCTGCAGTACTGTCTCCTTTTATCTAAAGGTGTTTTGCAACTTGACCCCTTGCTGCCTGCCAAGGTTTACCTCTGAGAAGTATCAAGCTGTTCAGCATTGGCTAGAACAAGCTCTTCTGACCCTGTCGACCCAACAGTGAAAAAGTGTCAGTGTAGGGAAGCGGAAGATGTTAAGCATGTGCATGAGGAAGGAAATAGTTTCTTTCCAGCAGGTGAGAAGCCCAGAGAGTTTTGGTGGCCTGGGCAAGCTCCTATGCCTCAGGTGAAAAAGAGAAGTTCAGTAAAGCTGCCTTGCCTGGTTTTAAGTTATATTGTCTTCTAATTCCTTCTTCCCTCACCTTCCTCTTGTCCTAATACCTTCAACTCCAAGTCTCTTGTCATTTCCTGACAGACTGGCAGGTATACCTGACAGACTGGTATAATTGTTGGAATCAGGAATGTCTGACCAATGGGGAAACTGTGGCAGTAAGGAGTGGAGAAAACTTAGTGAAGGGCTTGCAGTCCATGACTAAGAACACAGACTTCACGTGATCCTGTAAGAAGACCCGTCAGGGAAGAGATCTAAGGGTTGGAGTCTGTATTATTCTTCTATTGCTGCTGTCACAAATTACCTCAAACTTAGTGGCTTAAAACAAGATACGTTTATTAGCTCACGGTTCTGTAGGTCAGAAGCAAAAGCAGGCTTTGATGAGTCCCCCTCCTTAGGGTCTTACAAGGCTGCAATCAAGGTGTTGCCTGGGTGGGCTCTTATCTGCAGATTCTGGGAAGAACCCCTATCCAAGCTCAGGCCTATTGTTGGCCAAATTCTATGCCTCACAGTTATGGGATTGAAGTCCCCATTTTTTTTCTTGTTGTCAGCCAAGAGCTACTCTTAGCTCCTAAGGGTCTCTTGGATTCCTTGTCACGTTGCCTACATCTTTGAGTGTAGCAATGGTTCATCAAATCCTACTTATGCTTCAAATCTCTGATTTCTGCTACTTGCTGGTGAAAATGCTCTGCCTTTTAAAGGCTCATGTGATTCTATTGGGCCCACCTAGATAATCTTCCTTTTGCCATGTACGTTAGCTTGCTAGGACTGCCGTAACAAGCTGGGTGGCTACTGTGTTTGAATGTGTCCCCCAAAGTTTATATGTTGGGTACTTAGTCCCCAATGCAACAATGTGAGAGTTGGGACCTTTAAGAGGTGATTAGGTCACGTGGGCTGTACCCTATGAATGGATTTGTGTCATTATCAAGGGAGAACATTAGTTATCATTGAAGTAGGTTCCTGATGAAAGGATGAGTTTAGCTCCCTTCCCTTTTCTTGCGTGCATGCTCTCTTCTATCTTCCACTATGGGATGATGCAGCAAGAAGGCCCTCCCAAGATGTGGGCTCCTTGACCTTGGACTTCTTAGCTTCCAGAAACGGTAAGAAATAAATCTCTGCTCTTTATAAATTACCCAGTCTCCAGTATTCTATTATAGCAGTACAAAATGGACTAAAACAGTGGCTCGGACAACAAAATTTTGTTGCCTCCCAGTTCTGAAGGCTAGAAGTCTGAAGTGAAGTTACTGATGCTCCTTGACTTACAACGAGGTGATGTCCTGACAAACCCATGGTAAGTTGAAAATATTGTAAGTTGAAAATACATTTAATACACCAAACCTACCAAACATCATAGCTTAGCCCAGCCTACGTTAAACATGCTCAGAACCCTTATGTTACCTTACAATTGGGCAAAATCATAAGGCAAATCCTGTTTTACAGTAAAATGTTGAATATCTCATGTAATTTATCGAAATGTTGTACTGAAAGTGAAAAACAGAATGGTTGTATGGGTGCTCAAAGTAAGGTGACTACTGAATGCGTAACACTTTCACACCATCGTAAAGCTGAAAAATTGTCAGTCAAATCTTCCCAAGTCAGGGACCGTCTGTATTGGCAAGATTGATTCCTTCTGAGGGTTGTGAGGGAGGGATCTGTTCCAGGCCTCTCTTTGGCTTGTAGATAGATGACTGTCTTCATATTTGTATGGTGTTTTCCTTGTCCAAATTTCCTTTTTTATCAGGACATCTAGTCATATTGGATTTAGGCCAACCCTAATGACCCCATCATAACTAATTACATCTGTTACCATGTTTCCAAGTAAGGACACAGCATCCTGAGATACTGGGGTTTAGGACTTCAGCATATGAATTTAGGGGGATGCAATTAAACTCATAGCACCATATATCATACATAATCATAACAGTCACATCTTATTTGCTCATACTCAAAAGGGAGGGATTTGGACAAAGGTGAGGGTCATTGGAGGTCATTCTTAGAATTCTGCTTGTCACCCTGCCTCTGAGTCAGGATACCTGCTCAGAGGGATGTGAGGACAGCTATGATGAATAAAAAGAATACTGCTGACCATGGTGAGAACAGCTACAGAGGAGTGGGTGAAGGCCATGATCAATGGGTTGCAAGTGAACAAGAAGTGAAGAAAATGCAGAGACTGCTCCACTCAAGAAGCAGCTGTGGCCAAGAGGAGGCCAGGTGGTGAGAAGAGAGGGAAACAGAGGTGAATAACAGTTCCACTAAAATCCAAGAGACCTGAGCTTGCTAGTTGTCTAGAGACAACTGACAGAGAGGGGCTTGCAGGCGGCTAAAGCCATTCAACAATTTCTGGTTGTCCACATGCCCCTTCTATGGGAACTTGACTTGGTACCAGGTAGAGGATTTTGTAGAACTCCACATGTTATTAAATGGCCTTTGCAAAGAGACTTGTGTGCAATCTGGCTGAATTATAGTTCCTTTGGAGATTCATGTTTGCTTACTTGTGGCTCTGTAACTCTCAGCCTTAATATCACAGAAATGCATTTCTATCTGGTCTTCACTTCCCTGATTCTTTAAAAATTTTATGTGATTGTTCTTGGAAGGAAAGCTTTGGTGGAATCCAGACATAGTATTGGCCACTATTGATTGAGGGTCTGCTGTATGACAGGCCCTGTGAGAAGGGTGCATGTATATTAGTCCTTATTTCCTTTTTACCAGGTAGATTGTTACCTTCATTTCACAAATGGGGAAACTGAGTCTCAGAAAGCTTCAGGGCTGTGGCTGAGGTTATAGCATTGCTAAGCAGTATTGCTCTGCCTCCTGGGTTAGTCACCGCACTCACATTAAAGACCTTTTTCTTCTGAAAGTTGGCAATTTTCTTTTGTCTTGATAAATGTTATTTTCCTAGGATGTACTTAGAGCAATAAATGTTCTGTGAAAACAAAAGTGTAGTGTTCACTTTCTATTCCCCTCCCAGTCCCAAACTTCTGGGCTTCCCAGTTCACCTATTTGAGAAATTACTTAGTGAAACATTTTCATCTCCCACCCAGAATAATTCATTGCCAGGCAAAGAACAATGCAGAGACATTACAGCCAGTGAGACTTTTTCCAAAGGTCACACATCGACGTCCAGGGATTTGTGATGGACACAGTGCCCAAGGCACAACATCACATTTGCTTCTCTTTCTGGATGCGTTTCATCATGAAAGGGTTTGCAAGCCTCCATCTGCTGACTTGCAGTGGGCTGTTCCCCAAAATGCATGCCTTGTTCTCATTTCCAAGGAGAATTGCAAATCTTAGAAGGTATTTTAAGGGAATATGACAGGAGCAGGAACCCAGAGCAATTGGAATTCAGAGTGGTGGAGTGAAGAATCAGCAGGCATGGCTGCCAGAGTTTGTAGGCTTGAGAAGCAATGAATTCTGCCAGGAGTGAGAGTGCTTGGTGAAAACCCTGGAAAGAAAATCACAGGTTAACTGGGTTTTAGAGGCAGTGTAGGAATCTGTCAGGTGGGCAGCAGGTAGAAGGTGGGAGAGAAGAACATCTCAGGTATAGGAGAGATACACAGGTTTAAATGTCAGTGCTGTGGTGCCAAGTGGCTCAAGTATAATTGAGTATATTAGTAATGATGCCAACCGCCCCCGTAATAATAAACACATACATTTTTATGTCACCTACTGTATGTCAGGGTACATTAATTATATTCTAAGCACATTAATTATATTAACTCGTATATTCCTCAGTGCAACCACACAAGGTGAATACTGTTATTATCCTTGCTTTACAGATCAGGAAACTGAGGCACAAGGAGGAAAATAATCATGCCAAAGAACTATCAATGAGCAGATTGGGGATTTTATTCCAGCAGTTTACTCTACAGCAGCTCTGTCCAGTGGAAATTTCAGTGATGATGGAAATGTTTTGAATCCTTGCTTTTAGCAAGGAAGCCACCACCCACATGTGCTATTGAGCACTTGAAATGTGGCTCGTGAGACACATGAATTTTACATTTTAATTTTGATTTATTATATTTAAATGTAGACAGGCACATGCGGCTAGTGAGGACAGTATTGGACAACACAGTTAGTTAGAGTCTGCTTATCTATAACCCCCTGCTGCCTTTCAAATTGGGGAGTGTCAAGTTGATTCTGTCATGATAGTTCTAGCATTAAAAACCACCACAGGAATCATGGCCATCATTTATTTAGCTCTTATGTGCAGGGCAACATGCTCAGTGCTTCCTGTGGGTTATTTCATGTAATATCCATGACAACCTTATGGGTGATGGCTAAGAGCATGAACTCTGGCAGGTTTGAACTACCAGTGTTCAAAACCCAGCTCTGCTATTTGTTAGTTCTGCAGCCTTCAGCAAGTTGCTTATCCTTTCTATGCCTCAGTTTCCTCATTTGGAAAATGGAGTAAATAATAGCATCCCCTTCATGTGGTTGTTATGATGATCAAGAGGCTGTCCTTTGGAAGACAGCACAGTGCCTGACATGGGACAAATTCAGTATCTGAAGGTATTGTTATTATTACCCTTATACTTTAGATGAAGAAACCAAGGCATGGAAAGGTAAAGTATCATGCTGAAAGGTACAGCTAACTGAGGGAGAGTTGGAATTCAACCCACAGGTAGCCTGATTTCAAAGTTCAGGTTCTTAACAATTATATGGTGGTTTATTTTTTTCTTTTCTTTTCTTTTTCTTTTTTTTTTTTTATTTTTGAGACAGAGTCTCACTCTGTTGCCCAGGCTGGAGTGCAGTGGCATGATCTCAGCTCACTGCAACCTCTGCCTCCTGGGTTCAAGTGATTCCCTTGTCTCAGTCTCCTGAGTAGCTGGGATTACAGGCATGCGCCATGATGCCCGGCTAAGTTTTGTAGTTTTAGTAGAGACAGGGTTTCCTCATGTTGGCCAGGCTGGTCTTGAACTCCTGACCTCAAGTGATCCACCTGCCTTGGCCTCTCAAAGTGCTGAGATTACAGGTGTGATGAGCCCAGCCCATCCTGTGGTTTCCGATCACAGTTTCTAAAATTGTGGTTTGTGGAGAACTGGTACTAAAATGCTTCAGAGTGCTTGTTGAAAATATGATTGCCTAGACTCACTAAAAACTGTTCAATTAGACTTTTGGGGTCAGAGACCTGGGAATCTGCATTTTAATAAATTTCCCAGGTGATTTTTCATGAACACCTTAACTAATAATAAATCAATTAAAAAATTTAACGGTAAGAGAAGTAGAAGGAGAGACCAGGTTTTCAGATGTAGAAGATACCCTGGAGAGTAGGGTTATTCTGCAAACAGACTTAATTTTAGAAAGATCTTTCTGGTGGCTGGTGTTGAAGATGGACTTGATAAAGAACGTCCTGGGGGTAGATGTGGGGTGTGGTGATGGGGCTCATTAGTACAGTGACAGAGTGGACAGGGAGGGAGGGACAGATTCTTTGGATGTTTTATAGTAAAATTGACAGGATATGGTAGATTACTAGAAACTGAGGAGAAGGAAAATTAATTGAGAATCAAAAATAATCCTCAGGTTTCTATGACACCTGAGTGGGTAATGATATTATTAACCAAGATGGACAAGGAATTTTGGAGATTCAGATAAACTTGAGGACTTCTTTGGACATCCAGGTGGAGAGAATCATTAAGCAGCTGGAAATTTGGTTTTGAGTTCAAAAGAGGAATATATAGCAAAAATAAAGTTTGGTGTCCTGTCAACACTAGGGGTGGTATGTGACCTGTGCAGTGGGTGAGATTGTCTTGGAGAAACTAAGTGGCAAGGCTCAGCAACTCAAATATTGCCAAGGGTGAGGGGTTGAAACAAGTGTGTGTAGTGGCCTGGTATAAGAGAACAGGTGTTAAGCTGCTTTTATTGCAGCTAATCTAATAACTGCCCAATCACACAGCTTTTGAAAACACTCTATCAGCCACTTAGCTGTACGACACTGCCCCAAGCTCTTAGCCTCTACACACCTGGCACCTCGGGGTCTAAGCCTACTGGGTCTGACCCTATTGAGAGCACTCGGGTGCTGCCCATGCCAGAAGAGAAGGTCACCAAAGCCTAGCCCCTGAGGGACAATAACACTCGAGGGCTAAGAACAGGAGCTAGTGAAAGAGGCATAGGAAAAGTAGATAGAAAAGAAGTAGGAGAACAAGGACACAGCTGTGTTGGAGAGGCTGAAAGAAAGAAGGATTTCAATGAGAGGGTTGTCAGCAAGCCACATGCCACCAAGAGCTCAAGCTGAAGCCTGGGGAGAAGTTTTGGCATAGACTTGACAAGCTGGACGTGCTTGGTGTCTTTTGCCACCAGTAGAGTAATGGGGGATGGAGCCAGGGAGGGAATGAGAGTCGCAAGTGGAGGCAAAGAACATAGATTACTTTCTTCAGTGGGGAAAGGAATGTGAAGGTCACTTGCTTGAGGGGGAGACATGGTTGGCACGGGGTTGTTTGTAGGATAAGTGGGGCTTGATCATGTTTGTAGGGAGAGGGAACACAGAGCCAGTGGGGTAGAAGGATCTGAAGATAGTTAAAAAAAATGACTTTTGGATCAAAACCCCAGAGGAGGGAAGAATAGTTTGTATCTTGAAAAAAACCAGGGTACCTCTTTCTTTGGGCTAGGAGGAAAAGGTAGAGAAAAGCTTAGATCTAGGGGCAAGAATTTGTAATTGGAATTCTTGCAAGTGTAAATCTAGGTTGTCTGTTTAAAACAAGGGCATTGGTGAAGAACAAGGATAAACGTGGTAATGTCTACAGCACATTGAGCATCTGCACCTGTGTGCCAGGCATTGTTTAGCGCTCTTTGGGAATTGTCTTTTTTATTCCTGAAAGGCAAATGTAATTGGCATACCCATTTTACAGCCCACAAAGAGAAGTTAATTGCCTGTGGTCACGCAGCTAGTAAGTGGTTGAGCTGAGATCAGATCCCAGGAAGTCTGAGTTCAGAGCTTGCTGTAGCTGCTATACAGTGTAATAAAGCAGCAATAATGATGACTTGCATTCTCATAGTACTTTTTTTCTTAAAACTTTATCCCTATTTTACAGGTGTGGAAACCAAGGCAGAATTTTTACAGGTGTGGAAACCAAGGCGAAATTTGCTCAACTCATCACGCATCTTGGTAGGGTCAGAGCTAGGACTGGAGCTGGGGTCTCTTACTTTCTAGTCCTGTTCTGCTTCCCAGGAAGCGAACACCCACAAGTAGCTCCTGAGTAAATTATGTTGCATTTCTGACATCTCATTCCCTCTCTTCCTCCTTCTATTCCAGTCTGCCTACTCCTACCCTGATCTGGACCCCAGGCCCCAAATGCCAGGAAGGTGGCCTGGCACCTGCTCCTTCCTTTTGGCTGGAATCTTTGTCCTCCCACATGAGGGCATTGCCCGCATTCCCCACCACCACTGCCTTGCCTTAGTATGAGGGGCCTCATGCAGGCAAGCAGTGGAGTAGAAGGCCGCATTTGTTTTGCTTTTATTGTTAAATAATATAAATCTCTTGGCTGCACCACCGGCCAGTACGTGAGTTGTGTGTCTTCCTGCATAGTTGCTAATGAGACAGTTAATCATTTGTTTATTTTGTATGAAGAGAGGTGGCAGCCATATCTCTCAAACCAGACATTGGGCTCCAGGACCCTCAGGGAAGCTGCCCACCCCTGGCACATGAGTCACCCACAGTCCCAGCACAATCCTGCCCTGCAGGCCCCATCACCTTCTTCCCTGAGGAATGGCCAAGATGCAGGCATCAGCTGATGATGATGATGATTACTGTTATTGCAGCTATTATTTTTATAAATACTCCCTTCCTTGAGATGCAAAAAAAAAAAAATGTAATTTGCAAAGATGCTTTGTTGGGAGATAAGTAGGCTTCCTCTTGGGCACGGAGTTTATCTCACTCGTGCATAGGTTCCTAGAGGTCGTGCAACTCACGAGATAAAGCTCCAGGATCCTCCCCAGGGAAGGCCAGAGTCAGTGTTCAGCTGTTTTCCTAGATCCAGGGTTAAAGAGGTGAAATCAACTATGTTCGTCCTGTAGGCTCCCTGGGGCCGAGGCTGCTTTTATTAGAGCAAATCAGGCCTGTCCAGAAGCTGTGCTATGGGGGAGGAGAGAGCCAGGAGGAGGTGAGGAGGGGTTGGGGTGGGGTGTGCTGCAGGGATTGCTGTCTGCACCTGGGCTGCCCAAACTGAATGATTGTCTTAAAGGGCTCCCATCTCATCGATTTGCATGCTGTCAGCATCCTCCTGCTATTTTCTTGGTGTTTGTACAAATCCTATTGCCCGAAGCTTAAATTTCAATTAACTGGGTCCAACTGTCTGTGTCCTGAGGCACAGGGAATGGGCTGGGGTTGCTTTGTTTTCTGCTGCGGCACTCCATCCTTGGCAGTCTGTCTGTCTGTCTTGAACCTCCTGTCCTGAAGGCTGCACCTCTCTGTGAATTGCTTGCATTCCACAGTCAGGGGCAGAATTACCCAGGGCAGGGCTTATGTTTTAGGAGTAGTTGATGGCTAGATCAAGAAACAGGAGCATGCAGTGGAGTGGAATCATCCCCTTACCATGGTTGATTTCTAGCTTTCTGCTTCCCCCTGTGACATGGTGAGATGCTTTTATTTTTACTTCCTCATCCAGATATATTCTTGATCTCATCCTTCTTTCTCCTCCCTATTTTCTTCTTCTAAATATGTCTTTTTAACCTCTGCATCTTTGTTCTTGCAATTTCCTTCATCAGAATTTTCTTCCCTTCCTTTTCCTACCAATCCTTATCAAAATCCATCCTTCACAGCTCAATTCAAGCGTCACTCCCTCCAGGAAGCCCTCCCACTGTCCTTCCCAGAAGACTTGACCTTGCTTTCTGTGCTTCCGATTCCTTGGATCTCACAGTTCTCCCTTCTTAGAGTCAGAGCTAGCATCTCATTCTGTACATCCCACAGTACAGTATCACACCATTCATATTATTTTTTTTTTTTGGTTTTGAGTTTGTTCTGGTTGAGTTTTGTTGTGGATTGAATGGTGGTTCCCCCAAAAGATATGTTACATCTTAATTGCTGGAACTTGTCAATGTTACCTTATTGGAAAAAATGGTCATAGCAGATGTAATGAAGTTAAGGATCTTGAGAAGATGGAGAGATCATCCTGGATTAGCCAGACGGCCCTACATTTAATGAGAAGCGTTTATGTAAGAAATACATAGCTGGGTGCAGTGGCTCACACCTGTAATCCCAGCACTTTGGGAGGCCCAGGCAGGTGGGTCATCTGAGGTCAGGAGTTCAAGCAGCCTGGCCAGCATGGTGAAACCCTGTCTCTACTAAAAATACAAAAAATTAGCCAGGCGTGGTGGCGGGGACCTGTAGTCCCAGCTACTCGGGAGGCTGAGGCAGGAGAATGGTGTGAACTCAGGAGGTGGAGCTTGCAGTGAGCTGAGATCTTGCCACTGCACTCCATCCTGCGTGACAGAGCGAGACTCTGTCTCAAAAAGAAAAAAAAAAAAAAAAGGTTAGGTGATTGTGGTGGTGCATGACTGTAGTCCCAACTTTGGGAGGCTGGGACAGGAGAATCGCTTAAACCTGGGAGGCAGACGTCACGGTAAGCAGAGATCATGCCACCGTACTCCAGCCTGGGCAACAGAGGGAGACCCTGTCACCCCCCAGAAAAAAAGGAAAAAAAAAAAAAGAAATACACAGGGAAGATTTGACAGAAAGAGGAGGAGACAGTGATATGAAGATGGAGACAGAGATGAGAACGATGTGGCCACAGGCCAAGGAATTCTGGCAGCCACCAGAAGCTGGAAGAAGCCAGGAAGGATTATCCCCAAGAGCCTTCAGAGGGAGCATGGCCCTGCCAACACCTAGATTTCAGACTGTTGGCCTCCAGAACTGTAAGACAATAAGTTTCTGCTGTTCTAAGCCATCCAGTCTGTGGCAATTTGTTACAGTAGCCCTAGGAAAGAAAGGGTTCTCCTTCTCTGAAAGGGAAGACAGGGAGAGGCAGGAAGAAAACAAAATACCAGCATGAGGAACCTGTACCCTTCCTTCCAGATTTTATTATCAGCTTGGGTCCTTCTGTTTTATTTCATACAATCCAAGTCCTGTTACTCCCACACCAGGCCTTGGGTTGTCTAGGCAGCTGGGTGAAAGGCCACATTTGTTTTGCTTTTATTGTTAAACAACATAAGGACAGGGCCTTGTCATGTGAGAACATCAATACTGAATAAATAATATATTTATAATACCAATAAGAGCAATTGACATTTGTATAGCCTTTACAACTTACAGATTACTCTGACTTACCTCATTGCGTTTTGTATTTATGGTAAACCTGAGAGGTGGTTGTTGAGATCCTCATTTTACATTTGAGGAAATGGACAGAGGTGGGAAGGGGCTTGTGTATGACCATACAGCAGATGTGGTTGGGCCAACGCTAAACCATCTTTTGGTTCCAAATCTATTTCCTTTAACTGTGCACATAATATTCTTTGATTATGAGACCCAGTAGGTCAAATCTGTTTTTAAAATTCTTTTCAAAATGGGAATATCCTTTGCCTGAGCTAGGGATACCTGGTTTCCTTCTTTTCCTCAAGGTGTGCTCAAACTCAGCAGGGTTTGGTAGTAGTGGAGAGGCTGAGAGAAAGCCCTGCTTATTCAGGGGTCTTTGTTTTACAAGTTGTCTCTGTATGTTGATCCTCTGTTATTGTTTGGGTAGGCACTGGGGAACCTCTGTGCTTGCATGTGGGCATGTACACACATGCACTGTGCGCTCTGCCAGCTGTTATCCCCCTCTGGTGCTCACTGGCATAAATCTGCCACCTGATCATCTAAAATCCCAGTGAAAGGAAAATTGCCAGGCCAGGAGGGTCCAGGGGAGAATCAATATATCTAGTATAGTTTATATTTGTACCTTCTCTCCTTAAGAGTTACAGTGAGTGACTCTACTCCTCAAATGGAGCACCTCTCTCCAGGAGAGTAAGAAGATCACATAAATAGAAAGTGAGCTTTGGACTCTAACAGACATAGGTTCATATTCAACTCTGCTACTTAATATCCATATTGGTTTGAGTTATTTAACCTTGACAATCCACACTGTAAAATGGGTAAATAATAAATACCCTCCTCTCAGAAGTGTTACAAAGTTTATATGAAATAATGTGCTTAAAAAGCTGGGTACATAGTAGGAGCTTAGTCATTGTTTATTTTCTCCCTCATACCCATACATGATTCATTCTACTGTTAAAATTATGCTTCTATTGTAACCACACTGTCATCAGGGAACAGTTAGTAGCATTAGGTTGGTGCAAAAGTAATTGTGTTTTTTTGTCATTACTTTTAAAGGCAAAAACAGCAATGACTTTTTCACCAACCTAATAGTTTTGTCACATTGTCCTCTAGTAATGATGCCCTTTTTGCAAAGGGGAAGCCAAGGGCTTGAAGAGAGGAACTGAAATATTAAGATTTCACATCAAATCAGAGTTAGGGCTTAAATAGAAGTAAAGGCACTCATTTTCCCACTTTAGTGGGAAGGGAAATAAACCAACATTTATTGACCTCCTAATATAAGCCATGTCCTTCCCTCAAATATTTTATTCTCACAAGAACATGATGACATGAATAGTGATATTATCCCCATTTTACAGATGAGGAAACAGGCTTAGAGGATTTCAGTTGCTGTAGGTTACTTAGCAGAGAGGCTGCCCTCCTTCCCAGGGTTCCTGGCCCCAGGGTGCCCAGCTCCTGTGTTTTTCTGCTCCATCATGCGGCTTTCCTCGGAGTCCTGGGGAAAATACAGCTCAAGGAGGGTCCATGTGTAAGGATGAATCAAGAGGAGCATCTCATTATCACCCCTAGTTGTCAAAGAACAGAATCTACAGCCCCTTGTTGCTTGTTTCCTCCCAGTCATTCAGCTCTCAGGAGTGGAGTTAAGATGGAACCTGACTGGTAATGTAATGCAGGACCCAAGGTGTTTCCCATAGGTCATGTTGTTTATGGATCTGATGTCCATTATCATTTGAAGGAGTGTTTGGCCAGGCGCAGTGGCTCATGCCTGTAATCCCAGCACTTTGGGAGGCTGAGGCGGGTGGATGATCTGAGGTCAGGAGTTTGAGACCAGCTTGGCCAACATAGTGAAACTGCGTCTCTACTAAAAATACAAAATGAGCCGGGCCTCATGGTGGATACCTGTAATCCCAGCTACTCGGGAGGCTGAGGCAGAAGAACCACGTGAACCCGGGAGGCAGAGGTTGCAGTGAGCCGAGATCGCACCACTGCACTCCAGCCTGGGCAATAAGGGCAAAACTCTGTCTCAAAAAAAAAAAAAAAAAAAAAAAAAAAAAGGAGTGTTTGAGTAAGGGAGTAAGGCCACCCAAGATATTTAATACAAGGCAGGTTGTAAGTTTAAGTGAGTATAGTTGGAGTAAAAATAGAAGAAATTATATCTGTTCTTAAATTAAACTCCAGGGCTGTGTTTTGCGAACCAATTAACTAAAACTTGGAGTCATCCTGTTAGGCTTTGCTGAGCAGTGGAGGGACTTGTGGGGAAATGTGGTTGCAAAGGAGACAGGAGGGAAGCTGAGGAGGCTGAGGAGCCACAGATGAGCTAGGGAGATGCTTGCAGCATAGCACGTCTTCCTGTTTGGTTATTGGAAAACCTGGGTCCTAGTTCTTGATCTACTAGCTCTGCAGCATAGGAGTCATTATCTCTCCGGAACTCAGGTTGTAAAATAAAAAGGTCCAACCAGATGATATCTAGGGTTCCATTCAGATATAAGCGTGTGCTGTTTTTTGAATGTTAGTGCAGCCAGAGGGCCTGAAAAGTGACGGGGAGGCAGAGAGCCTTATCAGATAGAACAAGCAGCATTTCAGCAGGGTGCAGAAGGAGCTTTGGTGGCTGTCTCTGTATGTGCACTGGGTGGAGAAATGAGTGTGGGCATTGTGGTTGCATTAGGCCCCTCCCCATGTTCTCTGTTCTACAGTGCCTTGAGCACAGCTTTATTATCTTAAAGCATTTACCAAGTTCTAGTGTCTTTGGGCAGCAAGTCCCTCAACAGACTGTGAGCTCCATGATGGGAAAGACCAACTATTGTTCACTGTGATAGTTGAAAAAATGAATGCATCCAAATGCTTTTGGATTCCAGTTTCTCTAGAGATGTCTTTTATGTGTCATTTTTGTAGTTTGGTCTCTTCTCAATGGAATAATAGATACTAAATATCATATTAGGATGGGCAGGTGAAAGTGAGTCAGTGCTTGCAGAGATAGATGAACATTGGAAGCTGTTCTTGAGGTTCTGTTCAGAAAGCCTGCTCGCTCTTAGTCCCTTTCCTGCTTGTGGGAGAGTGGGGGTAAAGCTTCCCGGCAAAGTGTGAGTGGCAGGCAAGCCTAGCTATTCATTGGCTCACAGCTTCGGCATAGACCCCATGCCCATTGCTGGCCTATGGCAAGGCACAGCAAGCTTGACAGTGCGTGCACCTGACCTTGCCCATAACCATTAATCAGCCATCATGTCCACAGTCTTCCCCACTTCTATAAACTACTGGGACAGTCACTGGAGGAACTGTCATTTTTTAACTCAGCGCAAGTTTTGTTCGCTTTAGATTTTTGGGCTACTCCCACAATTTAGCCTATTCCCTCTCTTTTTTCCCCAAATTTTATTTTTATCTTGGTACCAGGTCAATGAGTTGAGTGGGGCCTGGGGAAGGATGATAAAAAAGACCAAAGATACACATGCAAGATGGGGGCGTGCTTATGAAACTGTCCACTGGACACCCACTATGTGCTTAACATTATGCTCTAGGCTTTTTTTTTTTTCCATTATAACATCATCATTTCCCGGATGCTTTCCTCATGGCCTCTCTATGTAAGGTATACTTCATACTTGCTATTATAGTTAAAGTTGATGACATAACATTTAAGTGTCTAGGCCAGGACCTGGCACAAAGTAAGAACTTAGTAGACATTAATTGATGTTGTTGCTACTGTGTTCACATTTGATAGTTTAAGGGTCTTCATGATATTCTGCAATGTAAAAGGAGAAAACAAACTTGGTTAGTTGGAGATAGTCCATCATTTGTAGAGCAGGATAAATATTGCTGATCATTAAATCATCTCAGACTTTAACAGGTGAAGAATGAGTAGCTGCCCTGGTTAAAGATCGCATTTGCCTCAACCTAAGTTGGGGCTCAGAAGGGGAGGGGAAGGTGTCTGTTCCAGTCTCTGATTTGTTTCTAAGTGATTTTTATTGCCATCACTTCTAGGTGTCTAAGTGATTTTTATTGCCATCAACTTCTAGTTCTCAGGATGCATGACATGGTCCCTCATTCCAGAATCCAGCCTCTGAGCTTTACTCGCCATTTAAAGAATGGTGTTGGGCCTGAGTGTTTCTGTCCATGGTGCTAAACACAGAACTCTGGGACTCAAAAGCAGATGGTACTACATGGTCACTCTCATCTCCATAGCCTGCGAGATGAGACTGCTGTGAAAAGAAGGCTGGTTTGGGAGTTAGGAGGTCTAGTACAGTTTCAATCACTTGCTGTGTTGCCTCAGGCAAACCACCTAACCTGTCTGTTGCAGTGTTCCCATTGGTAAAATCGAGTTGCTGCATTCTGTCATTCATATTTCAGAGTGCTGCTGATTTCTGTGTGAGTAAATGAGATAACAGATGCTAAAGTGGGATATGAATGCATAGTATGATTATGCTGCAATTGCCTCTCATTCTTTTAATCATACATTTTGACTGTATCGTTTTAATTTACGGAGGCACCCTAAGGCCTAATAACATATAATGCAGCATGCAGGAAATCAAACAAACAGATAAATGCACTGGAGGAAGAAAGAAATAACTTTTTTAATATGTTGTTTGCAAGTGGCTGTATGGCTGTAGAACCTGGGGTGTGTTTCTAAGAGGAAAGATAATGACCAGTGAGGGGCCAGCCCTTGTCTGGAAGGAGAGAAAAACTCATAAAATCTCATCACCACTCCAAGCCCCAAAGGGGAGACCCACTTTACTGTCACAGTCCTGAAATCTCAACATTAGCTTGATTTCCTTTTTTAGCTTGGTATTCCTTGTCCTTCACAGAATAGTTGCAATCTCCCTTTTTGAGTTAATCATGCTTGCTATGGCCTGAGATTTGAAAATGGAGTCTGTGGGTTTAAGTTCTTCTTTTCCTAGTTATAGAAACTTCATAAAGCAAGTGAGGCTCTTATAGCCTACCTTTCTTCATCTGTGAAATGGGCTCAGTAGTCATAATATCTCCATATGGGATGATTGAAAAGATACAGTTGTAAAAATGGGCCTTATAAAAATGTACCAGTAGTTGTCATTGTTATTCCCTGACATGCTCTGTTCAAAGTATTGCATGAGCAGGTTTTGCCTTTTCCCCATCCTGTGCCTTTGTGTGTTCTATTCTTTTTACTGGGTGTATCTTCTTCATCTCTTCTTTTAAAAATCTCACTCCTTTAAAGCACAGGTCAAATACTACCTTCTTTGACCTCCCCAACCATAATAATTTTTTCCTTTCTAGAACTCCTAGATAGTCTATCATCTTTACTGTTCAACTTATGATCTCCTTGCACGGTGGCATCTAGTTTAGTCATTTTTTTTACTTTCCTAAATAGATTATAAGACCCTGAAAGACGGCTACTTATCTAGCACAGTGTGTAGCACAGAGCAATTGCCCAATACCTGTTTTAATTGGAATGCAGGATGAATATTACACAGCACTCATGGCCTTAGGCTTTTGTAAAAATACAAGCGTTGCTGGAGGAGGTGACTCAATAGGTCATGGGTACTTGCATATGCATTAAGAACATTGGGTTTGGGTAGCCAAATGAAGGTGGAAAATCTGGAAAGAACAAGTTGAATAAAGAAGCAGGAGCTGCTAAAACACGTTTTTTTCACTGTAGCAGTTTTTCCTAGGCTAGTCCTGGTCTTGGAGGTGCTGTGAAACCAGTGTATTGACTTGGAAAGATCCCTTAGATCTCTGAACTGGGACAAGGGTTGCAATTCACGGACACCGGATGTTGTGCAATATTCAGGTCTGCCAGAAGGTGGCGCATTATCACTAATTTCATGGTCTGGCAGCTTTGCTCCTGGGGATCCCCAAAGTTGGTGTGGGCATTCTGATGGGTAGCTCTCCTCCGCATTTTGTGTGGTTCAGAGCTTCTCCCCTCTTATCCCCTCCCCTGCCTGCATTCCACTCAGCTTCTTTATGATGTATAAAGATGAAACTGACCCCAGTCTTCAGCCTGAAGAGTGCCTTCCATTGGGCTTCCACATTTGGGAAGGTTCCCGCTGAGATGGGACAGAAGTGTCTCAGCAGTCTCTCAGTTCCTGCGTAAGTTCAGAACCAACTCAAATCATGCTCTCTGCAGTGGAATCTCCCCACCCTGGGCGCGGAGAGAGTGAGCACTCGGTGCCTTTTTGGATAAACCAGGTAAAGAAGAAAACAAATTACTTTTTAGTACACTCCTTTATTCCTCATTCCCTCCGCAGCCTCCTATGACTTCTGATTTCTTGTCTGAACTTCAGGAACAGCACCTCTCTCTGTGTCTTCCTCATCTCACTCCTATATGGTGTTTCATTCTCTTTATGGTGTTATCACATTTATTTATTTATTTTTGAGATGGTGTCTCACTCTGTCACCTAGGTAGGAATATCGTGGCGCGATCTTGGCTCACCGTAACCTCCGCCTTTCAGGCTCAAGTAATTCTCATGTCTCAGCCTCCTGAGTACCTGGGACCACAGTCACAAGCCACCAGGCCTAGCTAATTTTTTGTATTTTTAGTAGAGATGGGGTTTCACCATGTTGGCCAGGCTGGTCTTGAACTCCTGGCCCCAAGTGATCCACCTGCCTTGGCCTCCCAAAGTGCTGGGATTACAGGCATGAGCCACCGCACCCAGCCTGTTATCACATTTATTATCTTACATTTTCACACAATATCTCTAAAATGTGCCACAGATATTTTTCTCTATTTTTTATTAGAGCGTTCACGTTTATATCACGCACCATTTAATTTGACCCTCACAGCAGCTATGAGAAGTTTTGGGGCATGAGCATTAATATCTCCATTGTACAGATGAAGACACACACAGGAAGAGTAAGTGATTTTCTCAGAAAGTATAAGATGTTCAAGAACCTGTTCATCTTGTTGCTAATGTACTTTACTCTTCTTCTCACTATGGATGATGCAAATAAGGCTCAAAAGGAAGATATGACTTATCCAACGTCCTAAAGTCAATGATGGTATAAATGGGGCTGGAATTAATATCTCTCGATTCTCAATTCAGTGTTCTTTGTATCCCACTAAGGAATCCTTCTCCATTCTCTAACAGACCATTGGCTATCTGTCTACCCAACTCATTTCCTATGTCTTCAAACTCTTAAGCACACGTCAATCAGCATTTGACAGAGGGTCCCAAAGGTGAATGCCTGAGGCATATGGAAAGCTCATCAGGAATTATTATTTTAAATTTAAAATGGATAAAACAAGCACTGGCAAGAAATCCATCAATCTGCTAGCAATGACTGTGCAAATGACTGGGTATAGGTATTAGAGGTGTACCGCAATATCTCTAATACTGTTACCCAGTCATTTGTACTGTTATTGTTAGCAGATTGAGAAAAGTGTTTTCATTTTTCTGTTTCTATGTTTTCAAAATTTTCTTCAGTGAGATTTTTAACTTTTATAATGGAAAATAAACATTACAAAGTGGAAAAAAATGTTTTGTGCCACAGGTTTGGGATGTGTTTGTGCAGCTGTGTGCATGGGAGTGGCTGTTGCCACATTGTGTTAAATGGGATGGAGGCTGGGTAGGGCAGGAACTGTGCTCCAGTCTTCTCCAAGGACAGGTCATTGTGTCATTCACTGGTTCCCATTCCTCCCCTAAAGCCCTGGCTGATGATTTTCGCACGCTTTACTTAATAACTTCCTCCCTACCTGGAGCCCGGTGGAATCCACAAAGCCATAAGCACACACCAGCCTGGTAGGTTGGGGCAGGTGGGAAGGAGCTCTGGGAGGCTGGGGCATCAGAACTTCACCCTCTCTGGTCAGAGCTGTGGGCTCCTGAGCTTCTCCCTCTGCCTGCTGTGGACTTATGTAACACATTCACAGGACTTCATTTTCCAGTAGATTGAAAGCAAAGCCGCTGTTGATTTTCTCCAAAATGATCTATTTGGAAGTGCAATTGCCTGGAATTACATGGTGGCGCGAGAGGTTAGACCTTGCTGTAAATAACTTTCCTCTCAGCCACACAGGGGCTCAGCTGGAAGCAGTGTCTGGGCTTTAGATGACGGTGTTTGGGGTGTGTGTGTGTGTGTGTGAGTGTGAATACATGTGTGCATGGTCTTGGGGCCTTTGCTCACCTTGCTACCACTTCTTCTACCTTTGGAGCTTTGCATCAGAATAAGGAATGAGGGCAGAGATGGGGAAGGATGGGGTTGTGCTTGTGGTTTCTTTTATCAGCTGGTTTATAGGGCCTGTCTCTGGCCACCTCTTCCCCTTATTGCTGCAGGGTCCTTGAGTCATGTGAGGTTGAGTAACTCAAGCACAGAGTGTGGAGTGGCACAAAGAACAAGCTTAAGAATTGGACGTTTCTGAGTTATAGCACCACATGTGCCCAATTACAACATACGGGACCTTAGACAATTGCTTACATCTATGACCTCCTGTGTCTTTATACATTAAAGCAAACAAACCTAAACCAAACAACTGGTATAAGGTGTGGGAGTTGAGAGTACCTACATTTCAGTATTGTTGCAAGAGTTAAAGGAAGTAATGCTGGAGAAATCACACTGCACAGTGTCTGACACTTGGTATGTGTTCTGTAAATTTAGTTCCATTCTGTGCCCTGCCTTGCCTTTCATGACAGATTGAAATTAAAAGCAAAAGCAATGGGCTTGGAACCAGGATGGCCTAATCCAAAGTTGTGAAACATGCAAAGTCTGGGGTGTTTCACTTCTTTCTATACTCCCTTCCCGTATAGATAGCCATAGCATACATACATGATTCCCCCAAAGAAAGACTGTAATAAACGAACTCTCACTGCAGCAGATGGGACTTAATGCTGTCTGCTCCTGGTGGGCATTTGTATTTTAAGAGTCCTGCGTAGGCACGTAGAGGACAATGTTTAACCCAAAGATGGCAGCATTTTATGCAGGATGGCATTTAGATGGCAGAGCTATTTTTAGATTAGAAAGTCTTACATTTACTCTGGCCATTCTTCAGACCAGCCTTATTTGCAGGCGTTAGAATGGGATTATGTGCTAGATCAAGTGGACATTTTTCTCAAAACTCACCTAGTGTTGTCCTTTTCACATTTCCCCATGAAATTTAGAAAATAATAGAATCTTATCAAATATGGACTACATCCTCAGGAGAAGACTTCCAGACAGTTCTGGAGAAGGCATCTAGCCGCCCACCTACCTAACATTTTTTGGAATCCTACACTGTAATATAATAAATATAGCTGACATTTATGAAATATTTTGCTAAATTTTTATGTGCATAATCTGAGTTAATTCTTACTACTTCCGGTGGTACTGATATTATGATGCCATTATTATAGCATATTGGCCAAGAGCAAAGATGCTGGAGCCAGGTTACTTGGCTCAAGTCTCAGCTCACCAGTCACTAGTAGTGTGCCCTAAGGCAAGCTGATTCTCTGTGGCTTGATCTTCTTATATTTAAAGGAGGAATATAATAGTACTACTTCATAAGGCTGTTTGGGGCATTAAGTGATTCAATGTACATAAAGTGCTTAGAAGAATGTCTGGCTATTATTATCACCATTAAACATCTGAGAAAATTGTGGATGAGGGGAAGGGAAGTGATTTTCCCAGTGACACCCAGATGGTGACAGATCCAGGTCAAGATTTCATGCCTTAGGACTCCCAGCCTAGTGCTTTTTTCTTGGTATGAGGAATATGTGGAGGATCTTTAATTTTTCCCACATTATTATCTCTCAAGGCAGCTGTCAGTCATAAGTAACAGCATTTCAGAATGGCTGAAAATCTAGATGAGAACAATTGAAAAGGTGAGAGCTTGTTTAATTAAACTAGTTCCTGAAAGCATGTAAAAAGAAGTTTTTTCATAAAGTGGTGCCAATTTGGGTGCCCACCCCAGCTTGGCAGTTGCAGCTTAAGCACTAGTTAGTGGGCTTATTAATCAATGGCATCAGAGCCAACATCCAGGCTACAGCTAGCCTTCTAGAGAGGTGGTGCTGCCAGGTGCAATCCCAAGATGAGAGTCAACTTGTATGATAAGCATAGGTCAAGCTCTGAGTTTTCATTAGAAAAAAAATAAGTGGCTACTTCATAAAATATGTTAATTAACCATTGATGGAGTTGGGATAGAATGCGAAAGTTACATTTTCTTTAGAAAGTATAAAAACCCTTTAGAGTTTTTATTTCCTAAAGTGACCCAGAACAAGCCTTCAATAGACCAAGTCCAATAATGCCTCATGTGTTTCAGAGGGAGAGGGTGGGCCAGATGAGGAGGGTGGTCACCAGGAGTTCTCCTTTGTCCTCCTCCCATTTCTCTTGACCTCTCTTGTCATAATGGCTACAGTTCCACTGTTAGGGATGTATTATTTTGGGCATTGATAGTGTTTAAAGAGAAATTTAATTTCCAACATCTCCAAGAGACAACAAAATTATATAGCATCTTATATGGAACTCTCTTCCTCCCTGTTCAGATGCAGCAGCCAACTAGGACCATGCGGCCAACTAAGAACTGGAAAATAAGGCAAGGTGCCTTGGGAGGAGAAAGGGTGGATGATATATGCCGATTGACCATTTTGCTAAAGCCCAGGTCTACTTTATGCCATTTTGCTCTGCAAAGTGCTGCTGGAAGAAGTTCTGTTTGGAATTAAGTTAGAACAGGGAGCTCTGATCCAACATAAGAGAGCATCCCACTCAACCAAGATAATTAAGAGTTTGTCCTTTCTTCATTCCTTTTTCCAGCATAAGAAAGAGCATCCTACTTGTTTTGGATTGAATTTTATCCTCTCAAAAGATGTTGAAATTCTAACTCCCAGAACTTGTAAATGTGACCTTATTTGGGTCTTTGTAGATGATCGAGTTAACGTGAGGTCATTAGGGTGGGCCCTAATCCAATGAGTATGTTCTCATAAAAAGGGGACATTTGGACACAGAAACAGACACATATACACAGGGAGAATGCCATGTGAACATGAAGGCAGAGATCCAAGTGATACATCTACAAGCCAAAGATTGCCAGCAAATGACCAGAAACTAAAAAAGAGGCATGAAACAGACTCTCCCTTAGAGTCCTCGGAAATAACCAGCTCTGAAAACACTTGATCACAGTCTTTTAGTCTCCAGAACTGCGAGACAATGAATTTCTGTTGTTTATATCACCTGCTTTGTCGTACTTTGTTGCCCTAAAAAACTAATACACCACTGAACCAAGATAATTAAGAGCTTATGTCCTCTCCTTTCCTTCTTTCAGTAAATATTAGATGAGAGTCTACTGTGTGCCAGGCACAATACCAGATCCTGAGAACAATATCTTAGATAAGATCTTTGCTTTTAAGGAGTTCATAGACTATCAGGGATACGGATAAGTAAGCAGGCCATTACTGGCTGTATGATAGGTATTTCATGTCTTTTTTCCCCTCTAGACCACTAGCTCTCAACCTTCACCATACTCTAGCTTCTCCTGATAACTTAAAAAAAAAAACCTATGTCCAAGCCCCATTCCCAGGCATTTTGATTTAGGTACCCTGTGGTGGGAACAAGGCTTTGGTATTTTATGAATCTTCCTAAGAAATCCCAAAAGGCTGTTATTGATGAAAACCACTGTTTTCAAATATACCCATCATCAGGGCCCCAGTCCACACTAATAAAGTTGGAATGGTAATGATATTTTTTAGAAAGCTTCCCAGGTGATTCTAATGTGTAGCCAGGTTTGAGAACTGCTGTCTCTCCTGAGAGGTAGGGATTTGGTCTGTCTCATTTAATGCTGTGGCCTCTCTACAGTGTCTGTCACAGAATAGACAGTCAATAAATAATTGTTGAGTCAGGATCTATGATGAGAAAAACATAAGGTGCTATGGTGCATAGAAGATGAGTGCTCAGGGCAGTCATTAGAGAACTGAGACCTGAAAGATGAGTTGACTTATCCAGGCAAGGAGGGAAGAGAAGAGTGTGTCTGGCAGAGGGAACAGGATATGTATAGAGCCAAGGAGCTGGCTGTAACTTGGCATAGCTGGAGCAAAATCTATGGGTGGTGAGGGGTAAGACTGGAAAGCGGAGCAAGGACTGGGTCATGAAGAGCCTTGCAAGCCACGAGGAGTTTGGATTCTGCCATAGGCTTGTTTGTGTTGTCCAGGGGCATAGCCATGAACTCTCAAGGCTGATTTTTGTTTCCTTGGCCTTGATGCTCACCCAGGTCGAGAGTAGTATCTTGCACTTTTTCTCTTTGAAGACAAAAGCCCAAGGAGGGTGTGGCATTTTGATGCCCAGGGCTGTAGGCCCATCTCATAAGAGGAGCATTGCCGTCTTTCTGGAGAGACCATCAAGTGTCGCAACTGCACTGCACCCCCTACATGGGACCTTCCATCACCAGGACTTGGGAGTTAGATTCCCCAGCCCTCCTTCTATACTTCCACATCTTGGGTGGACCCTGGGGGAGCTTCCACATCCCTCTTTACACATCCTTCCCATTCCTTTCAGTCCAGTTTTACCTGGACACACATGCTAAGGATGGAGAGGGAGGAGAAGACTCAGTGTGATATTCCCCAGATGGTCCCCTTAGGGAGAGCTCCTGGGCAGGGCAGGTTGATCTGTGCAGGAGGAACCTAACCCTCCATCCCAGGGGCTTGCGCATATATCCGCTGGGTGCTTGCTTGTCTGAGCCGTGCTGTTGGCAGCAGTGCCCGATTTAGTACTCTGCAGACTTCATTAACAGCCTGCCTGTTCCACTCCGAGTTCTTAATGAAGATGTTAAATAAAATGTGATGTTAGTATTGCCATTTGTACAGCACTTCATATTTACCAAGCACCTTTAGAACGTTTTTATTCTTTTCCAAGTGATAGCCCCAAGAAGTCGATTAGTACTGCTGCCCCATTCTACAGAGAGGCAGGCCCTTGGGAGTTCATTGATCTGTTGAAAGCCAGGTAGCCAGCCACCACCCCACCTTCTATCACCAGTGGGCATTACTCACCCTCTTTTGCCCAGAACTCAATTTGTTGAGCTGCTGTAGCTCCTCAGGGCCCAAGGACATCTCACATTCCTCCCTCCAAATTCCAGACTTTGCTCTCTAAATATTATTCCTCTTCATCATTCTTACAATGTTGTGTTTTCAGTTTGGGAAAGCCTTAGTCTTCTCTTGGTCAATTTGAATGAATTTGCAAGTGAAATATCCTGATGGACATCAAATGTCTCCCTGACCATCTAAACACACAGCACGCCTCAGGGCCCCTGTTGTCCATCCTGCCTCTTTCCAAAGCCTGTCAATGGCACTGTGTTTGTGTCTGGCACGATCTGTCTTCTGTAAACAGTCGCAGGACAAACAGCACTGTTGTCTTCCTAAATATGACAGTCGACACCCCCCTACGACAGTTTTTACTTGTGAAACCATAAATCAGAGGCTCCAAGTGGCAGCATCTCTAAAGAACTGAAAGAGGAAGTAAACCTTGTAAAGAAAAGTACAAAAAGCGGCTCAGGTTTGCTTCTCTGAGCCTTGTTGGAGCAGTTGAATAAGGCTTATTAATAGGTTTACTTAGCTCTCTGTGCCTTAGTTTTCTCATATGTTAAATGGAGCTATTAATGGAAACACAGGTATGTAAAGGGTTTTCTGCTTTAATGACATAAGCATTTTGGGAGGGACTTCTTGCAACACTATTTTTGACTTCACACTTTTAAAAACCTATCACTAACTTTCTTTTTCTAGCGTACTATGCTGTCTTCATGTTGCCTTCTTTGCGTGTACTTCATTTCTTTTTCTTTCTTCATCCGGCTTTCTCTTACCTTCTTATCATCTGTCATTGCATTCATTTATTCCTTCTTCCACTGTCCTAAATCTCATCACCTTCTTATTCTGTTCCTTATCCTAGCCCATGGGAGGGTCCCCTCTGCTATTACTGACTGGCTTATCCCACAGGATTCTGCCTTTTCTCCCCCTACAGGCTCTGCAGGATTTCTTTCCCTTTCTCTCTCTCTTTCTCTCTTTCTTTCTTTCTTTCTTTCTTTCTTTCTTTCTTTCTTTCTTTCTTTCTTTCTTTTTCTCTTTCTTTCTTTCTTTCTTTCCTTCTTTCGTTCGTTCATTCCTCCTTCCTTCCTTCCTTCCTCTCTCCCTCCCTTCCTCCCTTCCCTTCCCTTCCTTGCTTCCTTCCTTCTTCCTTCTCCTCCTTCTCCTCTTCTTCTTTCTCTTCCTCCTCCTCATCTCCCTTCCCTCCCCCATCCCCTCTCCCCCGCCACCTCCTCTTTCTCCTCCCACTCTGTGGTCCAGGCTGGAGTGCGGTGGTTCAATCTCACCTCACTGCAACCTCTGTCTCCTGGGTTCAAGTGATCCTCCCACATTGGCCTCCCAAGTAGCTGGAATTACAAGTGCACACCACCACACTCAGCTAATTGTTGTATTTTTAGTAGAGACTGGGTTTTGCCATGTTGGCCAGGCTGGTCTCGAACTCCTGGTGATTTGCCCACCTTGGCCACCCAAAGTGCTGGGATTATAGGCATGAGCCACCACGCCCAGCCAGGATTACTTCTTGATGGAGGATTTGTGATGTGGTGTGGGAGTACAGAGCGAGGATGATGGTGGAAAGATGCAAGGCCCCCTCACTTCGTTATTAGGTGATAGAGGAGAGGGTGACAGTGAGATAGTAAATAGCTGAGGGGATTCTGAGTTCTTTGACTCAGGGAGCTACCTTCTGGTCCAGGATCAGGTAGTACTGAGGGTTACAAAACAGGTCAAAATGGCCTGGCAACACATTGTAGTTCTTCAATGGAAAGAACATTGCACTGAGAATTAGGATTGTTAAGTCAGAAACTGTGAAGGGTCTGAGACTGCAGCCTACTTGCAAGCTAACAAGTTAATCTGCCACAGGTAGATATTATATATATGTATATGGTGTATACAGATATATATGTGTGTATAGATATATCTGTATATGTGCATACACACGTACCCACACTGCTGTCAGGGTACATAATGAGAGAAGATACAAACTCTAGATCAAACACAAAGATCATTGATTACTTATGGCAAATACAGCAATCAAGGTGATCTCTTGCATTAGTTCTCTGAATCCTGATGCCCATGGGTGATGTGGTAAGGGCCAGATGGTAGTTGCACATATAGTGGAGCCTGTTAAGCAGGAGACACCCCCCGCTCCAGTTTAGAAAATTCTCTGACCTTATCTAGGGCTGCTGGTGACCTGCTCATACTCTTCCCTGCAGAGAGAGAAGACCTTAACTTTACTCTAGAATATGAGCAAATCTTCAGAGAAAGGAGGGAGACCTAACTATCCTGGAATGTCTCTGGGGAAGGAGACAGTCTCTATCTTTGTTATACTGGTCAGGAAACAAATCTGCCTTCTGACCTAGAGAGAGACACTCTATTTCATTTCCAAGAATTTTTACTATGCAACCAACCCAGAAAAAATTGTCAGTAGAGCCCTTTGCTCAGAGGACTCAAACTGTGCAGAAATGTGAGATATTCACAGAGAATTGTCTTCCAACAGGGACTCTTAGGTGTGAAGTGAGGGGCTTAGACAACATTAGAGACTTGAAAAATGTGGAATGTGTGTACCACCACTCTCCAAATCTATGCCCAAGGCAGCCATCACTAATTAATTGGGGTTTTTTGGTGCAAAACCCTAGGCAGTCTGTACTATACTGATTATTACCTGAGTCCCCTCTAGCTGTGTGAAATCATATTCTTCACGTTTCCTCCTGTGTTCCATCTTTTCTACTTTTGTGAATCTGTGTATCTATTTATATCTTTATCTGTCTCTAAGTTGGGGAAAAGGAGAACATCTCTTCTGAGGCAATTTTGTGGTTTAAGATTTTCGTACAAAGCAAGTTCTTAATCCTACCAAATAACATTCTCAATTTAGTCTTTAATCCATGAGAACTGTAGCTATTAACTTAGAGAGGCTTCCCTTGCAAACAGGGATTAATAGAAGAATAGGTGCCTGTTGTTATATCTCCTTCTCACCATTGGCTATGAAAGTATTCTCCAAATTCCTCTAGAGTGATACATTGGAGCCATCTAACTAAGGAGAAGACTTTAAAAGAAATATGGCGCAGGTGAACATTTGCTTGGAGAGGGGAATCCTACATCAGAATAGATACAGTCTGAGACTCCTTCCAACTCTGAGATTCGACCAATGATGCCACCTGGGCACTTGGAAGATGTCCCTTTACCTTTGAGTCAATTTGGACTCTACTCCCAGCCCAAGTAATCTTTTCCTTCTTGTGTTCTATACTTCAAATTCTGCGTTTATTCAGTGGGTAGATGTGGACTTACATAGCTAACATACTGGGGTTTCTACTGAAGACCTGGTTATATTTTATTGCCAGCCACTGAAATGAAAGGAATCAAGAGAATAATGGGAAAAGTATATGAACTGTGAGTAGGGCATCAAAAGATAGAGGATGCTGATTAGCTAAGTGACCTTGGATGCATTACCTAGCCTCCTCGTGCCTCAGGTACCTTTCTTGAAAATGAAGAAGTTAAGGCCTGCCTGGCTGTCTATCTCATGGAGATATTGGCAGAGCAAATGAGGTCATGTTCAGTGTATGAGGTGCCCAGAAAAGAGATGTTGGTTGAATGCAAAGCTGGCTTTTGCTGCTCTGAATCTCATCAGCCTCTCGTCCTGCTCCAACCCATGGAAGGTCTTCCCTCTGCTGTTTCTGACTGGGTCATCCCACAGGATTCTGCCCTTTCTCCCCAGCCCCTGTAGGACTATGTCTTATAAGGGCCTGATGGGGGACTTGTGGTGCAGTGTGGGACATACAAAGTGATGGTGGAAAAACCCAGTGTCCCCTCAATTTTTTATTGGGTGATGGAGTGGGATGATGGTGAGATTGTGAATAGCTGAGAAGATCTTGTTTTTTTGACTCAGGAAGTGTAAGCATACAAAAAAACAAACTCACTTTCTCGTACTATATATTCACAACACAGTACTTCTGTGACCCCTGGCCGTCAAAATGTGTGAGGATTTCTTCCCACCAAGCAATTCTCCAATAGACACCAGCTGGGTGGCCTCTAATTAAATCAGATTCTGACACTGTCTACCTGGAGATAGTGTCCAGTCCTACAGGTTAAGGGCTCAGTCCCACAAGACGGTCCTCCACTTCAGATGTCAGTTACAAGTAGTAGGTTGCCAACTGTGCTTCTGACCAACTGGCTATAAATCGGGGATTCCCACAATCCCCTCCCCAGATTTGATTGATTTGCTAGAGAAACTCACAGAACTTAGGGGAACGCTTTATTTACATCTACCCATTTATTATAAAGGATATTACAAAGAATACTTATCAACAGCCAGATGAAAGAGATGCAGAGTGGGAGGTAGGTGGGGAGGGGTTTGGCGCTTCCATGCCCTCTCCAGCACACCACCCTCCAGGAACCTCGACATGTCCAGCTGTCTGGAAGATCTCTGAACCCTGTCTTTTGGGGTTTTTGTGGAGGCTTCATTACATAGGCATAATTGATTACATCATTGCCATTGGGGATCAACTCAATCTTTAGCCCCTCTCTGTTTCCTGCAGGTTGGGGGCTGGATAGAGCTGAAAGTTCCAAACCTCTAATCATGCCTTAGTTTTTCTGGCCCCCATCTAGGAGCTATGGTGGAGTCCCCAGCCACTAGTCATTTCATTGGCATATAAAAGACACTATGGCGATTCCAAGGATTTTAGGAGCTGTATGCCAGAAATGGCATTTTGGGAGGGGGTATAGGAAAATGTTGGGGTGGAGAGTGAGGAGTTGGCAAAGACCAACAAAGACCAAATATGTTTTTCACACTGTCACAGGGGGCTACTTTCTCGTCAGGAGCAGGTGGCACTAAGAGATACAGAACAGATAAAAATGAGGCTGGCTATGTACACAGATGAAGTATAATGAAAAAGGTTCATGGATTAGGTCTGAGATTCTATCCCTGTTGGGTCAATAATTAGTTGGTATGTGACTAATGTATTGGGAAGATGCCCGGTGGTCTATGATATTGGGATTTTTTTTTTCTTTTTGATTCTTTGGGCCTCTGAAGATAATTCAGCAGTTTACCAGAGGAGTACCCATTCTGCCTGCTCCTTCCCTCTCTAACTTCCTTTCTCCCTCCCTCCACAAATATTTATTTGTACCTTGTTTGTAACTGAAGATAAGCACCTCTGAAATCAGGCCTGTTGGCATATGTCTAAATACTCTTTAACTGAGAGACATATATTCAAAGAAACGTTTTTATATGTCCATAAACTGACACATAGATTGTCAAATCCCTAATAACAAGGTTCAAATTAGAATCCTGACACTAATGTTTTCAAATGTTCTAATACAGGTCACCGTTTTTCCTGGTACAACTCTTGTGAGTCTTATGTGTGTGCATGTGTTCGCATGCAACTGTGTGAGATGCTTTGTTAATTAACATTGTGAAGCTAAGTGCTCAGTGAAAAAAGTACTAGAGAATTGCATATTGTCCTTACAGAATTGTTTGTAAATACAATCAAGTAAAAGCTGTATTGAAAGAGGTAGGCCTTGTTCAGAGCCATGTTACTAATCTCAAGTCTAGGGGTTTGCTCTGAGTGTCTTGGTGTCTTGGTGGCCACATGGATGTTCCTTTACTCTGCTTATTTTCAACACAAGAAAGGTTCTTGCAAAGATGCCTTGGATGAAAAATTCTGCTGCCATGGCTGGTATGCAACTCATTTTGCATGGATGTTCTCTCGGTTCTAACCTAGTTTGTGTTCAGGTAATTCTGGTAATGGGACATTTGCCTCTCCCCTGGGGGACCATTTTTAGTGTCTGTCCATCCAACCAGTTAGTCAGAGAAAAGAGCCCTGATGTAAGTAGAGAAAGAGGTATTTGTAGAACTGTGGGAAAAAGAAAAACATAACACACTGACCTGTTTTAAGAGTGCAGGGTGGGTTCAAGGCTTTTTTAAATTTGGTTTCCCAAGATGTTGGGGTCACTATAAGCTTCGAGAATGGCTGAGGTCCAAATCCTAAAAATTACTTTCATCTCAGAAAATTTGATTAGCAATCAGAATAATTGAAGTGTACCTTTCCAGACACTATTTCCTAAATAAAATGTATGCATAAGTGAAGTCAGACCTGATTTAAGATGAATCTTTCTTCCATTGAGCAGGCAGTGCTTTGGGGATAAAGGGAACTGGTTCCCAACTCCAGCTTTGCATTGAACTGCTGTGTGATCTTTAAATTTCCTCCTAACAAAATGAGGAGAGTAATACTTTCCCCATGGGCTTGAATGAGAGATAAATGAGGTGAAGCCCCAAGCACAATGCCTGTTGCAGTGTGTTCAGCACATGGTCATTTGCTTTCCTTTTCTAGGAAGGAAGCCCGGCTTCCTGGTCTTCTGCTGAGCTTACCCTGGGTTCCCAGAGGCTCCTTTGGATGCCTTGATCCATGGATATCTTCTAAGATGGTCATGATAATGTCAGTCTTCAAAGTAGCTGCTTTCCCTCCTCTGTACTGCAGAGACCAGGCACATACAGAGGCCGAAGGGTGGCTCTGTCTCCTAGGGTGGCTGTCACCAGGTGCCACATCATTCTGTGTTTATGGGTTTGCTCTGATAAGCAGATGAGGGGGGTGCTCATCCATTTTTTAAATTCAAGACATTCAAGTTCAACGTATGAGACACCAGGAGTAATTGTACTATGAACTGACATAAACTGCAATGAGGAAAGACCTTCTCTCTTCCCCTGTCTTAGATTGCACGCCAGGATGTGATAATTAAAGCATCTGTCTCTCTCCAGCTCCCCTTATCAGACATCTTAATTTATTTACTTGTTAAAAACTAAGAGGAGAATTCATGCTTTGTTGGTTTTCCTCTTTATTCTACTTTCATTGTTACATATTAAGTGATCTCTTGGCAAAACGAATACATAACATAGCTATAATTAAATATAATTCTATTTGGTATGGTGTTTCCCTTTCAACCATTGGCAGTTCTTCTAATGACAATGACCTTGTAATTTAAAACATATCCTAGGGGCATCTGTTTTTATTCTGGACTACTCTGACACATTGGTTGAGGAATGACAATAACAATGGCAGGAATTGGGTACAAGTGCAGTTTTGTTACATGTGTATATTACATAGTAGTGAGGTCTGGGCTTTTAGTGTATCCATCACCTGAACAGTGTACACTGTGCCCAGTAGGTAATTTTTATCCCTCATCCCCTCCCATTCTCCCACCTTTTGGAGTCTCTAATGTCTTTATTCTACTCGGTACACCCACGTGTACTCATTGTTAAGCTCCCACTTGTAAGTGAGACATGCTGTATTTGACTTTCTGTTTCTGAAATAGTTCACTTAGGATAAATGGTCTCCAGTGCCATCTATATTGCTGTAAAAGACATGATTTCATTTTTTTATGTCTGAGTAATATTTCATAGTGTGTGTATACATATATGTATACATGGTGTGTGTGTGTATATATGTATGTATATCTCAAATTTTCCTGATCCAGTCACCAGTTGATGGACACTTAGGTTGATTCTATGACTTTAACTTTGCTATTGTGAATAGTGGCTGCAATAAACATATGAGTGCCAGTGTCTTTTTAATATAATGATTTCTTCTCCTTTGGGTAGATACCCAGTAGTGGGACTGTTGAATCGAATGGTAATTCTATCTTTAGTTCTTTGAGAAATCTCCATACTATTTTCCGTAGAGGTTGTATTAATTTACATTCCTACAGTGTATAAGCATTCCCTTTCCTCCATACCTTGTTGTTTTTTTTGACTTTTTAATAATAAAATATGTTTTTCTTTCTTTCTTCCATGATGGTGCACACATAATAGATTATCAATTTACTCTTACATATTAATTATATTAAAGATACAGATGCATACTAGATGCAACACAGAAGAAAGATGCCTTGTTTCTGGCCATAGATATGACAGAGAGATCAATAAAGGCCACAGAATTCTCTTCCTGTTTATTCCTGTGGTTGTTGTTGGGATTTTTTTTAGATATAGCAAGTACTCAGCAAATTTTTGCTGAATACATTTACTTAGAACAAAGGGACACTGGCCTCCTCCAGCCAGCCACATATTATTTTATATATATTATTATGCAAAACACAGTTGTTCAGTATTGCCCCTTTGCAAGATGCTCCTTGACCTTTATCTAAGGGAATTAACTGCTATTATTATTACTCATTCTTTTTTATGCTGCCTATTTATATATTTTTTAAACTTGAAAAGGCGAGTTTTATTTTTATTTATTTAATTAATTAATTTTTTTTTTTTTTGAGGCAGAGTCTGGCTCTGTTCCCCAGGCTGGAGTGCAATGGTATGATCTCAGCTCGCTGCAGCCTCTGCCTCCTGGGTTCAAGCGATTCTCCAGCTTCAGCCTCCCGAGTAGCTGGGCCTACAGGCACCCGCCACCATGTCCAGCTAATTTTTTTTGTATTTTTAGTAGAGACTGGGTTTCACCGTGTTGGCCAGACTGGTCTCAAACTCTTGACCTCAGGTGATCCGCCTGTCTCGGCCTTCCAAAGTGCTGGGATTATAGGCGTTAGCCACTGCGCCTAGCTGAAAAGGAGAGTTTTTGATGAAGCACAAATGTGACTAGACAGTAAGGGAGGAGGCTGTTGGGATGACTGAGAAAAGAAATAAAGAGTGTCTTAGAATCATATAGGTGAGAGAATTCAGAAGTCATTACTGTATACCCATTGAAGGGATTAGATTCTCTGAAGGCTTAAACTAGACAGTCTGACTTAATCTCTCTCTTAAAGGAAAAGAGTTGTATTTTTGTTCTTCATGCTTTTAAAATTATACAAGAAAAAATAAAAGCAAAATTTATAAAAGCAATTTGTATACATTGTAAAAATATTCAAATATTTACAAAACAGCATGAAGAGTAAAATTATCTCCTCTGAGTTCCATTCTCTAAGGATAAAACTGTAAAATGCTTCAATTCTTGGCTCTTCTGTTTACTACCAGGATTCTAACATACTTTCTTGTTTTATAAAATTTAGACAGTAGATTCTGACTTTTTGCTATGAGAGTTTAGGGCCATATACGTAAATGCTATCTTCCACTCATCATTCCTCCTCCGAATTCTCAGTCGTATTCTTACTTATCCATTATCAAGGTATATTAACATTCACATTCTGTTCCCTAAATGTAATTAGATTTTCACATGCTTTATAGTTGATTCTAAAGAGTTTGTTTGGATAGAATGCCTACTATTCATTTTTTCATTCATTTGTTTATTTCATTCAACCCACACTGAGAGACTATTTTGTGCCAGGTATGAGCCTATGTGCAAAGTATGTGCAAGTGTTCACAGAATTGTGTGTAAGACAATTGAATGAGTTTTGGGCAGGAGAAGATACTAGATGCATATCTCAATTCTATTTCTAAAGATGTATTAAAAGAAAATTTAGATGAAAAGGGTTACGGAGAAGGACACTATCATACTTTTAGAGAAAAAGCACCCTGGAAATTGTTTAGATACCTAAATATTGTCAAGTATTAAATAAATTATGGAAACCAGATGGATTGGAATCAGAGCCATTAAAAATTAAAATTTTGAGAACTATTAAATGATGTGATAAAATGTCATAATCTAGCAATTTAATAAAATAAGAAACTGGATATGAAACTAGATCTATAATATTATCCCAGTTCTGTAAAATTTTAAAAAGATGATATGGGAAAGAAATATCACAAGTGATGACAGAGATTTAAGGTTTTTTGTTTGTTTGTTTGTTTGTTTTTTGTTTTTGTTTTGAGACAGAATCTTGCTCTGTCGCCAGGCTGGAGTGCAGTGGCGCGATCTCGGCTCGCTGCAACCTCTGCCTCCCAGGTTCAAACAGTTCTCCTGCCTCACTCTCCCGAGTAGCTGGGACAGGCATGCACCACCATGCCCGGCTAATTTTTGTATTTTTAGTAGAGATGGGGTTTCACCGTGTTGGCCAAGATGGTCTCAATCTCTTGACCTCGTGATCTGCCCGCCTCGGCTTCCCAAAGTGCTGGGATTACAGGCGTGAGCCACCGCGCCCGGCCTAAGGTATTTTTTTAAATTTTTATTTATTTATTTTTTGAGATGGAGTCTTGCTCTGTGACCCAGACTGGAGTGCAGTGACGCGATCTCGGCTCACTGCAAACTCCACCTCTTGGGTTCATGCCGTTCTCCTGCCTCAGCCTCCCGAGTAGCTGGGACTACAGATGTCCACCACCACGCCCGGCTAATTTTTTTTGTATTTTTAGTAGAGACGGGGTTTCTCCGTGTTAGCCAGGTTGGTCTAGATCTCCTGACCTCGTGATCTGCCCACCTCAGCCTCCCAAAGTGCTGGGAAGGTTTCTTCCTTTATACTCACTTTCAATGAGGAAGTGTTATCCTAACTACAAAACAAACAGACAAACAACAACAACAACAAACCTATTGTCTTCAAAAAAATAAAAAGTAACAATAGAATCATTGCCTTCAAGGACAAGATTCTCAATCTGGTGAAAGAGACATTTTAAGAAGTTCTCATAATGTAAAATGGAATAAAATCAGTGTCTGAGTGTCTGTACAAAGGGATAAGGATGGAGTTTTGATAGGGGTCTGGGCATCAGAAAGGACATAACAGGTTGCATCATGAAGACTGAGTAGTATTTCTATGGACAGAGGAGAACATTCCTAGGCGTGAAGGGATGGAAATGAATGTTGAGAAGTGAGCTATCTGAAATTGCTGGACTAGAGTGTGGGCTAAAAGATGTAGAAAAGAAAGTGGTTTAATGGCTTGTGGAGAACCTTGGATGCTTTGCTGAAGAATTAGAATTTAATTGAAAGGCCATAGGGAGCTATGGAGAAATTTTTAAAGAGAGGGGTGGACTTGACCTGTATTTTCAGATGCAAAGTAAAGAGAGCAACCTTTGGCACCAGACAGACCTGGAGTCAAAATCCCAGCTCTGCCAGTTCCTTAGGATAGGTTCTTAGACAAATGAGTTAACTCTTCTCTATTTCCTTATCCATTAATTGGGGGCAGTGATTTCAACTTTACGGTGTGAACATGAGGATAGAACAACTTAATACAGAGTTTCAATATCATGAATGATGAATAGGTCTTTTTTAAAGGTAAGAAATAATACCTGGTGATGAAATAATCTGTACAACAATCCCCCATGACACAAGTTTACCTGTGTAACAAACCTGCACATGTACCCCTGCACTTAAAAGTTAAAAAAAAGAAAATATTTGGATCCACCTATGACCTATAAGCTCTCTCTTTGAGTTGTTCTGCCTTTCCAGACTGAAGTAATGTATGTCTCACATGTATTGATTGATGTCTTCTGTCTCCCTAAAATGTATAAAACCATGTTGTACCCTGAACACCTGGGTCACATGTTCTCAGGACCTCTCACGACTGTGCCTCATGCCATGGTCACTCACATTTGGCTCAGAATAAATATCTTTAATTAAAAAAGAAATATTTGCAGGATCTCACCCCCTAGTCTGTGTTAAATTGTTTCTATTATAATGTTAAATATTTACAACTATATTTGTTATAAATTTCTCAAGTTTCGTGCTCTGCTACAGGTATAAAACCAAAACGAGTTTAAACATTATAAACAACACAAGCACAATAAAATTAAATGAAGCAGTATTAATTTAATAGACCCATTTGTAATCAATATGAAAATAAATCTTTGTGGACGATGTGAATATAGTACTAACTGCTACAGCCCAGGTTATTAAAGTTTGGCCTTTCCCATACTCTGTGTGTTATGTTGACTCAGTCTTTCCCCACTTTTCTCTACTCCAACTTATTGTTTATGCAGTGAACAGTGGTATTATTTAAACTTTGCTTAGCATGAACACATCTTCTATGTATCAGGTCCACCTCTCTTCCTCACTGGCCCATCACTATTAACATCTCACCACTGTAGACATGCATGCAAGTGCAAGCATTGAAACTGCATAGCAGGACTCAATTATGTAGTGGTTATCTAGATGATTTTAAAAATGTTATCAGTATGAAAATTTAGATCACACAGACATACCCACACAGACACACATACACACACACCACACACCACAGCCCTCTTATGGTTCTACACCTCCTATTTGTAAATACATATATCCTAGAAGTCTTATTATTATTGTTTTGTTGTTGTTGTTGTTGTTTTGAGATGGAGGCTCGTTCTGTCGCACAGGCTGGAGCGCAGTGGCACGATCTTGGCTCACTGCAACCTCCGCCTCCCAGGTTCAAGCAATTCTCCTGCCTCAGCCTCCTGAGTAGCTGCGATTACAGGGGCCCGCCACCATGCCTGGCTAATTTTTGTATTTTTAGTAGAGGTGGGATTTCACCAAGTTGGGTCTTATTATTATTGTTAATGGCAGCTTTATTATTGTTAGTGATCTTGGTTAGGTAGATGTATCAGTTGGCTATTGCTGTGTCATAAAGCACCCCAAAATTCCGTAGTTTAAATCAACCAGCCATTTATTATTTCTCATGAGTATTAGGTTGGCTGTACACACCTGCTGATATGGTTTGGGGGCATAATGGGGCTGTCTCTCATCTTTGGTCAGTTGCACGTGGGCTTGTTGGCTTTGCTGATGTGGCTGAGCTTCCTCACATCTTTGAAGCCTTGTCTGAGATGGTTTGGCTTTGCTCCATGTGTTTTCTTCACCTCCAGCAAGTTAGCAGAGGCTTGTTTTTAGGGTAGTCTGGACACATTCTTATGCTGATCACAGAGAAGCAGGGAAAGAAATGGATAAGTGCAAGGTCTCTTTAGGCCTCATGTTAGAGCTGGCAGACTACCACTTCTGTGGCATTCTATTGATTGAAACAAGTCACAAGGCCAATCCAGATTCATCAGCTGGAGACATAGACTCTATAGTCTATTTCTAGATGAGAGAAGCTACAAACTCAAAATTCAAAGAATATGGTTATACGTATGTGTGAAGAATTGGAGGCACTTTTGCAATCAATCCAGTAGAGCAGTTAAGAACATTGAAATCTATTAGGAAGTGACATAGATCTTCTTGGTGAGAGGGATCCTGCCTTAGGAAAGAATGAATGTGTGAGGTGCTCTGCCAGTCTTTGGTGTGGGAGTGAGGGAGAGGGAAGAGTCAAAGATGGCTTTGAGGAACCTGGGCTTGGGTGACTGAGAAGATGGTAAAGCTACTGAGATGAGATGGTCAGCAGGAAAAGTAGGTTTATATTAGGGGGCCTGGGGCATGGGAGAGGTCAAAGATGGAGGGAGAAAATAAGTTTAGAGTTTAGCAAAGTGGGACTCTTCCCACAAGGAGAAACCTTCTCCACCTAGTTACACAATAAAATCGCCTAAAGAGCTTTTAAAATTGATAATTGAGTCTCATCCAAGGCCAATTAAGCTTAAATTTCTGGGTAGAAGGCCTGGTATTTTTTTTAATATTCACAGGAAATCTAATGTATGGCAAAATAGGAATCATTATCTAAATCAGTGTTCTTCTTGTGCCCATACGTTAGAATCACCTGGAAGCCTTATGAAAAATACTGATGCCTGGGCCTCACTACCAAAGAATCTATTTAGTGAGTCTGGGATAGGGCCTTGGCATCTGTATTAAAATAAAGTCTGTCTGGATATATGTGATGTAATGTAATGCAGCCAGAGTTGAGAACCACTGACCTAGATAGTTAATTTTCACTGTGAATAATCAATGTTTTCAGGGTTGCAAGCCATGGCAAAGGGGCACTATGACAAAGTCTCTTTAAGTTCTTGGCAGGTCCAGAATTAGCATGAAATTGCTGGGTGCCAACTGGGGCATGGGGACAGGAGCAGTCAGAAGGTGAATTCTATACACTTCGAAGACCCAACCTGGATCAACACCTGGTGTTTGAAGCACAAGGGCTTGTTAGTGCTAATCCTGCATCAAGTAGAGATGGTGGGAAATCGCCCTGAAAAGCTCTATAGTGTATAAAATGTCATGATGCTATTGAAACCCCTGTTGTCCCATTCAAACCGAGCTTTCTTTACAGTAGCACCTGAAAAATACAACTTCCACCATTTCCTTTGAGAAGGTAAATTCAGTCTGAGATCTCAGTATTTGTTTTCCTTGATTGGAAAGCTAAAACTGCCTCTTCCTTGATTTTGTCCCGTTAGTCTGAGCTTTGACCTTGTTACATGTTAGATAATTCCTTGATATGCTTGTTGTTAATGCCTTATAAATATTTGCAGACCAATTATCTGTCTATAGGCAGCCACTGAGTCAACAACAGAATATCTGGGTTTTTTTCCATGTTCATAAATCATTCTTGGCAGACCTTAATCATTTGGGTTTTTGGCTGGCCTCTCTGACTTTCTTCTAGTTTATTTTTATCCTCCATAAGCCTCATCTATTTTGGAGAAATATTTAATTGCATAAGAGAGAAGTTGACTCCTGTTAGGTATGACACTGACAATCTTCCCTGGGTTCAGGGTTTCTTCAGAGTGGCATGAGAATCCCTTTGGGGATGGGAGAAGGCTTGTGAAAAGGACATATTTATGAGTCCCACCCCAGTTCTCTGAGGATGGGACTCAGGCATCTGGAATTTTCACTTCTTTAAAGGGTAGGTGATTCTTATATAAACAGTTTTAGAGCTATTACCAAAGTTATTGCTTCAAATATTATACTTAGAGGAGAAGTTGGGGCAATTTCTTTTCTCGGTGGGAGAGGCTTTGCTCCATAATCCTCGTCAGTAATCAAGAGATACACCTTTCCTTAAAGAGTTTCCAAAAATGTTCTGCATGAGGAATCACCATTTCATGTCAGTCTTGTATATCAGTGGGGCTGGTTGGTTAATACATATGGATTGTATTGTGTTCATCTGACATTAAGATATAAGCTGAGGCAAAGTGAAGAGAGGAGGAAGAATGAATACAATAGATAAATAGTAAGATAGAAAAGAGAAGAGAAATGGAGATGGGGAGGAAATAAAGAAGAGATATTTGTGTAAATATGGTTTCATCTATGACAATGTTTAGTATCACGCTTTTTTACATTTTGAAGCACTTTACAGTATAAAAAATCCTTTTATATGCGATCCTCACAACTGTCCTGGGGTACTGGACCAGGTAAGTGTTAACATACCCATTTCACAGATGGAAAAATTGAGACTTCTGACAGCAACCTTCCGAAGGTCAGATAGCTAGTGTCAAAACCAACCCTGGAACTCAGGACTTAGTTCTAAAGCAGGAATTTTCTGCCAATCCTAATCTATACTCAGCCTGGGTAACCTAGACTTGTTCTTGCTTGTGTAATGACAAGGCCTTCATTCTGAATGAGTGCTCTGATGTGATTTGATGTAGAGTGGTTCTTTGGGGAGGGACATGGCACTGGCACACTGAACAGAGTGGACTTGGTATCCTGAGGAGGTCCTTGGAAATTCTCATAAAAATCAACAAGCTTATTGAAAGAGCTCATGTTACATCTTATAAACAAAATAAAACTGGTACATGATTCGTGAGTGTCTTCATTCTTCTCTTTCTTCCCTTTCTTCTCTTCAACACACTCAACACACACACACACACACACACACACACACACACACACACACCCCCAAGAAATTCACCTCTGGCTCTGGAATCTGGAGAAAGTTCAAAGTCATGCAGCAATGACCGTCAGCATGATTAGGCCTACTGGAATCAACAAGATAAATTCAGGGCCTGATCACCATCAGACATTTTCTTGGTCTAACCTATTGTGGCCAAAGGAAGGGAAGTCTCACTCAGGTCTGCTCCCTCTCCTTCATTTACTTACTGAGCAGGCTTTTTTTGCTTTAGGGCATGGTTGGTACTGACCCTCCTGGGACTATAATAAAAACTAACCTGGGTACCAGGGTTGAATGTTGATGAGTTTTTTTACCCTCGTTATTTCTCTTGATCATTACAACAGCCTGGTGATATAGGTAATGGTAATATCCAGGCATAATTACGATACCATTGGTCTAGGCATACTTGTATAATTCTGTAGATCAGCTACCCCCCTAGAAAGTACTAAGGTAAATTTATGCACAGAGAGGGTGAAACAATGCAAAGGGACACTCTATTGCTAGTTGGGGCTTAGGCCCCTCAAATACTGAACAGGATTTTGGTGAACTGGGCTGCACCACAAAGAGAAGCTGGGTGGACTTGAACCAACCTAAAAGAAAAGTCAAACCTACCTTTCTGATTTTGGTTAGGAAGGGAAACCAAACTCTGCATCCCTGCTGAGAATCCCCGAAAAAGAAAGTGGCTGTAAAAGATGGAACCTAAGCCTTTCCAAGCCAGAATTCTGTGCTTTGTAGGAAAAGACAGGCATCAGAAGAGAAAGCCTCAAAGAGCTTTGAAGAGCAAGATAGCAAGATCTAGGACACAGCTTACTGTTTGAGGCCTAAGTTCCCCTCAGTGTTGGAAACTCCCACTATTATGGCCAGATGAAGTAGTTTTGCCTCTTTCTTGGTCACTGTCTTTGGGATGTGGAGGTGGTGTGGGGGCTGGAGGGAAAATGTGATATCCTGGGGATATGTTTTACTGTGAGGAACTTAAGGATCGGGGAAGTTAAGTCACTTACTCAACCAAGGTCATTTGTTTAGTGTGTGGGGAAGCTCAGATTTGAACTCTTGAATCTTGGCAACAACATTTAGTAATTTTCCCATTTTGCTACCTATCCTCTCTACCAAACACCATTTTGTTCTTATGTGGAAAATTGGTTCTACCCTCCTGGGCTTCCTCTGGCAGGAGCAGTGTCATTAAAACATTGAAGAGAACCCAAAGAATATATTTTTCTCCACTTAATGCTTGCTCAGGGAAGACATCCACATCCATGGGAGTTGTCTGGCTCACAGTTTAGGAAGTGTCATGCACATGGAGGTAGTCTGCTAGATGAGGCTTAGATCACATGTCTATTTCATCTCACTGTTCCTCCTTAAAAGTTCAGATGATACAAATGGCCACACTGTCCTCTAAAAGAAGCGTTGGAGTTTATTTTGGGAAAGGGGCCTATTTTAAGATAAAGGACAGGGGCTCCCTATTCTGCCACTGTGCTGGCTTGTCTCCACTCCACACTCAGCAAAAATGGAATATTCTCTAAACAATAGGTGACTCAGCCTTTGCAAAGTCTCAGGTGAAATGGATTTAGCCAGCAAAGAGAGAAAATGTCTTTTTTTTTTTTTTTCATTTTTCCCTGGTCCTGTTTGATGATAATTCTCAGTGCTCAGTGCTCCTTTCATCCAAAGATCTGTAATTAATTAAGCCTCACAACTCCCCTGGCAAGTAGAGAGAGGTACAAGGATGTTCATTTAAAACCAATCCTGTTTGATACAGTAGGACTGTTACCAAGGCTCTTTAAAAGAAAAACCTTTCTGGCCGGGCGTGGTGGCTCAAGCCTGTAATCCCAGCACTTTGGGAGGCCGAGGTGGGTGGATCATGAGGTCAGGAGATCAAGACCATCCTGGCTAACATGGTGAAACCTCGTCTCTACTAAAAATACAAAAAATTAGCTGGGCGTGGTGGCGGGCTCCTGTAGTCCCAGCTACTCGGGAGGCTGAGGCAGGAGAATGGCGTGAACCTGGGAGGTGGAGCTTGCAGTGAGCCAAGATCACACCACTGCACTCCAGCCTGGGCAACAGAGCGAGACTCTGTCTCAAAAAAAAAAAAAAAAATGAAAAACCTTTCTTTTGTGAAACTTCTTTTTAATGGACTAAATTAAAAAAGAAAGGGAAGAAGTAACTTTATCTGGGATACCTGCTGAGTTATGGCCACAGACAGAGTCCTAAGTTAGGAGCTCTGATGTCATTCTTGGATTAAACTAGGTGTATAAGCTACTGCTATGTAGCAAATCACCATGAAACTTAGTGGCTTTAGACAATAATAAACATTTATTGTTAATACAGTTACTGTGAATCAGGAATTCAGGAGTGGCTTATCTGGGTGGTTCTGCCTTGAGATCATAGTAAAGATGATAGCAAGGGCTGCAGTCATCTGAAGGCTTGACTGGGGCCGGAGGATCCACTTCTAAGATGGCTCACTCAAATGGATGGTGAGTTGGTGCTGGCTGTTGGTAGAAGACTAATTCTGCATGTGGACTTCTGCAAAGGGCTGCTTGAATGTCCTAATTATGAGGCAGATGCTCCCCTATTACAAGGGACCCAAAAGAGCAAACGTGTAAGTGTCAGTGTCTTTTGTTACCTACCCTGGGATGTCACACTGTCATTTCCTCAATGTCCTGTTGACTACACAGGTTAGCTCTCAACATTATGGGAGGGGCCTACAACAAGGGCATGAATATCAGGAAGAAGACTCACTGGAGGCCTGCTTGGAGCCTGGCTACTGTATGAAGACATATTAAACGTATGTCCATCTGTAATATTAGTGGTCCTCTGAAAAACCAGCTTAGAGGACTAATTATCATTCATCTGATAAGAAGAGAGAGTAAGAGATAGGGAATGGTGTAATTAACTTTCTGGTTATTTGTAGTTTTAGAAAAAAGAGCCACCATTCTTCATGGTTAAGTGATTAAGCCTATATTGGAGTGTACATAACAAGGGGTGATGCTCCCATTTTTAGGAGCTGGATAGCTGTCCCAGACCTTATAGCAGATCACTGGCTCCTCATTGTTGGTCCATGGACCAATGTTATATTAACTGCTAAAAGGCATCCCTGAGGCATTTATTAAAAATGTGGATACCAGCTTTCTACTCTTAGGGATTCTAAGTCTGTGCATTTGGAACCCACTGTGCTGGCTCAACTTATCAAGTTATGTGGGGTGAGAATTATGACTTATGGCAGTTATAGTCATTTGCTTAGCATCTCTCCATGATCTTTTTCTTGGTCTCAGAACACCAACTAAAAATAAGTTCCTGGTTGCTAAGGGCATGAATATCAGGAAGGAATTGATAGTTGCCAATGTTGTTTGCATACCATATTAGTTCAAGAAAGTGCAGAGAGTAGAAAGTTCCCTACCATAAGGGCTACTAGAAAGGCAGAGAGGGGATAGGGTTGCTGACCAATAGCAACAGTTTGGAAGATTATCATTATACTGCATCAATATATGCAAGGAACTGGTCTAATACCAGGTACAGAAGTACTTTTGCATCCTGCATACATTTTAGTCCAGTGGTTCTCAAATATTAGTATCCAGAAGAATCACCTGGAGAGTGTTTAAAAGTACAGATCTTTAGGTCTGCCTCTGGGATTCTGATTCAGTGGGTCTAGTGTACCCCAGGTGGTTTTGATGTAAGTGATCTGGGACCACACTTTGATATACACTGTTGTAGGTACAGCCTAACTTAATTGCAAGGTATTGACTTCATATCTATTTAATCTCCAGTAGCAAGAGTTTAACCGATAGAGTGGGTGACATATAAGGGGTACATGAATGACAGTTGCTAGGTGAACTGATGACATGCATGAGGGGTACAGGGAGACTGGACAGGTGTGAAAAAGCATTTTATTAGCATTATCTTTGTGGATATTCCCCTTTCAGATGATAAGCTCTTAGAGGTAGGACCTATATGCTATTTAATTTTGCAACTCCCGCAGAGGTTAGCATGGTAAGCTGCTTGCATCAGGCTTACAATAGATGTGTTAACACATAGGGGCAAGTTCATCTGAAGTGGCCAGGAATTCTGCCTGGTTGGGAATTGATTCATGGTACCCAGAGCATGTTGCATGTTGTGCTGACTGCTTTATGACTTTCGAAGTTGAGTGACTCTAGGTTATTGCCAAGCTCTCCTCTCACCTCTTCCCTCTTTCTTTCAAGTATCTCAGGTGGTATTGATAGTAAAACAGTCTTGGCATTAATGAGTGTCTGACTGGAGAGTGAAATGTAAATAAGAGTTGAATAGAGCACAGCCAAAGCCTACAAATTACCGCTGACAAATAACAGGGCAGACAAAGAGTATTTCAGCCTTACCAAACACCTCTGCTACAATCAGCTAAGAACACCTGGGAATGTCAGGGTGGCAGACACAGAGCCAACAACATGATCAAGAAGAGGACATTTGATGGCAAAGAGCAAAGCAGCAAGTTGCTTGTGCATTGCTTAGAGAAGAAGAGGAAGAAGAATGATAGAACTACTGGCTTCACTCAAGAATAATTTATTGAACTTCTACTATGTGCCAGTACTTATTATAGGTACTAGAGATAATAAGGTATACCAAGTAGACATAAAGCTTATATTTTAGCAAAAGATATAGATAATGGATAAGCAAATACTTAGTACATAGTACAATGTCACATGGTGATTAGTGTCAGTAAGAAGAATAAAGCAAGGGAGGGGAATACACAGTAAAAATAAAGTAAATATAATTCCCAATGACATTGCTATATATAATAATTTGACAAATCCATTAAACTAATACTTACTGAGTGCTTACTATGTGTCACACAGTATTGGGCAATGGAGATACAGTGATAAGACAAGTTTTGTAATTTCACAGTGCCTAATTTTTTTAGGCCAGGAAAAAGACTATAAACAAAGAAAGACACATAAGAAACATATGAGATAGTGATTTGTGCTATCTAGAGAATTAAGGAGAACTGGTAGAGTGACTGGGAAGGCTGCTTTAGTTTGGTTGAGGGAATTCCTCTCCAAGGAGGTGATATTAAATTGAAATCTGAATGACAAAGAGGAGCCAGCTATGCAGAAAGCATCACAGGCCAAGTGGGGAGGGCACACGGGTGAAGGCCCTGGACCCAGCAGATCTAGGAATAGAAAGGCCAGTAAAGCTTTATAAACCATGAGGGGCTGGGGTCTGGTTAGAATAATTAAGAAGAGAAATAATTTTTTGTTTTTCATATATATGACCTGGGGAACAAATATAAATCCTACAAAACTATCTTTCTTTCCATTTAAATATTGTCTAGTTCTTTCATCAGAGACAGGTGTAATATTTAAGTCAATTGATTTATAATATGAATTTCTTCCTGTAATTAGTTCTCTTTTCCCCAGCACCCCTGAGATAATTCAAAATGCAGGGCAAGTGTTATTATAATAAAATTTTATGTTAGTATAATTAACAAAAATACCATATAGCAATATGCCAGTCATTAAGCGTGTTGATTCATGTAGTAACTGGGAATTCTTAGTTAATATTTGTCTGCAGATCCATTTATCTTCCATAACACCTTAGATGAAATGTTTCTTTTTGGGCTCGTATTCAAGATCTTGGGGTGATCTTTTTCTGTGTCTAGTTTCCATGCAATCTGAGCTCTGCAGCAGCCAGTGGAAATGCCCTTAGTTGTCTTCAGTTTCTCTTTATGGGTGCTGCAATCTCTTTAACCCCTGTCCATACAGGAACTTTGTACACTCTGCTGTATTCTCCATCTAGGGTTCACATATCACCCAAATTCTCTTCTATGTCTCTGGGAAGGGAAGCAATTCTTTTTGCAGGTCTTCACTATTGTCTTTTTCTTTTTTCCATTGCTTTTTCTGTGCTGTCTGGAGAATCACTTTCCATACCATTGGGTCTTCTTTTCCCCAGTTAATATACCAGAGCCTTTCTGCTCATTCATTCTCTACATTTCATGCCTCTCTGAAGTATTAATACCTTTCTCTTTACACTGGTTACAGATGTATATGCAAAGATCAAGTGGATAGATTGTGTTTGCTGAGAAACTTTAGTGTTGAAAATGCAATGCAAATCTTTAATGTAAGTTTACTGTATATTTGAGTGTATTGTATATTTATTCTCCAATATAAATTTAGCAACTTTCACATTATGAATCACTAAGCCTTATGTTTCTCCAAAGAAGGGAGCATGACTTCTCAAAATACAATATTGTTTTAGAATGAAAATTTGTTTCATGACCAATGCAAATCAGTTCTGAAATTCCAAACTCCCTCAGCCTTGAATAACTTTAAAATGCAAATGCTACCCATAAGGAACAAATGTCTTTTCAATTATTAAAATTGAATTTCAAGATTTGGTTTCTTATGATAAAAATGTTTGAATATATCTGAAAAATCTTTCTTAAATCCTACTATTAATTAAAAAGGATAAAAGCAGAAAGTTGCAGGCAATAACAAGAACAAAGATTGAGTTACAAAAACTAGAATGTGTTTAATTTTCATAGAAGTTCTAAGGCATTACATTAGCACCATTAGGGTAGGGAAACAGGCTTATGTCTCTCTCTGTCTCACACACACACACGCACACACATACACAGGCTAACGGGAAAGGACAGACTCATGTACACACACATACACGCACACATAGTTGAGCCAATATGCTTTATGATCTGTGAAAATTAGGCTCAACATAGTGACCGAATTGAGAGACAGGATGTTGATCATAGTTTTGCTTTCTAACTTGAAGAATATAGCTGAGAAGCCAGGGTTTAATGGTTTTGATATTCTGGAAAATAGGTATCATGATAGTCAAACGTTTCTGCTCTGTTGGGATACAACAGAAGTATGATGTCTGTCCTTAGGAAGTTTACTAGTGATTTGGGGGGAAAATGGCTTTATATTATACAACTCAAACAGTATGAGCCAGTATACGCTTAAGCACTAGATACTGCAGTGCACAGAGACAAGTAGTTATGAGAATCAAGAGAAAGGAACATTATTAATACTGTGTGGGGCCAACATGGAATGCTTCATGGAGGAGAAGAAGTTTAACTTAATTTGGAGGAAAATACAGAATTTAGCATCATTTTCTCTTTAATGATAGCAAGTCATTTTTATTAATAATATTGATTATCTCTCTGTTGACTCACAGATTAGAGGATGGAAAAGCATGACAAACCCACAGGGTAACTATGTTTTAAAGGTTTTTAAAAAAGAAGTCAGAAAAAAAAGAGAAAGCCTTTCTAAGAGCCTAGTCTTGGGGAAAATGTAGGAGATGCAGAAGAGAATTAATGGCTAATGCTTATCATTTTGTACAAAATAACCTTGACACAAATGGGGCAATTTAAAGAAGGGTAAGTGACTCCCAGCCCACTCACCAAGGTTGATGGTGGAAATAATCATGGGGTTGAGGGCAGACTGGAAAAAGAAGACCGAGGGTAGGTAGCTTTCTCTTCTACATTATGTGTGTTTCTGATCTAGAGGTAGGAAGCTCATAGCTGAAGGAGCATTTTAGAAACTCAGCCTCTTCCACTTTCCAATCACTTTAGGTACTTAACTTGATCTAGCTGCAAGTTAGATGTGTCTCTTTTTTTTCCATCCTCCTTCAAGCTCTATGCAGAGATGTGTTAGTTGTCATATCACCAACGTCCAAGAAGTTATAGTGAACAAAACACAGTTAGAGAACTAGGATAATTGTAAATATTTTTTATAGCAAACCAATGTGCTACAATATGTAAGTTAGGGTGTGACTATCCCTGTGCTTCATAAGTGAGAAAATTATTATTGCTCTAAGTCAGTTTTCCATCTTGGCTACACATTAGAATCACCTGGCGAACTTTAAAAATTACCAATGCCCAGGACCTTCCCCCACCTGCTCTCCCAAGAGGCATAGTGAGTCTGAGAAGTGGCCTGGGCATTGGGGTTTCTAAAGCTCCCCAGGTTATTCTAATGTTCTGCAAAGTTGAGAACCACTCCTCTAACTGCTGATATAAACAAAGTGCAGCTGGAGAGTTTGTTAAACCACAGACTGTTGAATTCCATCGGCAGAGTTTCTGATTCATTAGATCTGGGATGGGAACCAAGAATTTGTATTTCTAACACATCCTTGGGTGATGCTGATACTGCTGGTTCTGGGGACCACAGTTTAAGAAACGTTGATTTAAACTATTGAGGTCAAGACAATTCAGGTTGTACAAAGTCAGCATTTCGTAAGGTTTGTCCCCAGAACATACTTATTAAAATGCAGATTCTGGGCACCTCCCTAAACTCACTGAATTAGAATGTCCAGGAATTTGCAATTTTAAATGAGCTCTTCCAGTTTTTCTTTTGGACGCTAGTGAACTATGGTGGAGGTTAATAGTTTTATTTCTTATCTTGCTCCAAATATTATTTTATATAAGTTGAATGTGTGACCCTATGAAGGTTTTTGTAATTATTTTATGCTATATTTTGTGTGTGTGTGGAAGAAAACCTCTATAGATTGGATTGCATTAGGTACCCTGAGGAATATCAGTAGTCAAATTTGGGGAAATAAGGCTGGGCATGGTGGTTCACGCCTGTAATCCCAGCACTTTGGGAGAGCAGGGAGGGCAAATTACCTGAGGTCAGGAGTTTAAGACCAGCCTGGCCAACATGGTGAATCTCTACTAAAAAATACAAAAATTAGCCAGGCATGATGGCAGATGCCTATAATCCCAGCTGCTCAGGAGGCTGAGGCAGGAAGAATTGCTTGAACCTGGGAGGCGGAGGTTGCAGTGAGCAGAGATCACGCCATGGCACTCCAGCCTGGATGATAGAGTGAGACCCTCAAAGAAACAAACAAACAAAAAACCCAAAAAAGAAATTTGGAGAAATAAGCTTCGTCATGGGGCTTATATTATAACAACAGACTCACCTGTTTATATAGTGGCTGCAATTCTCATTGCATCTGAGATGTTCAAGAGGTAACTTTCAAAACCACACTTGGCACATTCAACATAATTAGGTAATTGCACACAGCACAGGTTGTATAAAGGTTAGAGGAGCATCTTTCAAATTTTAGAGGATATTAAAATTACCAGGGGTATTTGTTAAAAGTTAGATTCCCAAGTCAGAGCTCCAGAGAGTCCCAGCTCTGGGTGGCATCCAGGAATCTTTATTTAACAAAAGTAGATTCTTATACAATGGGTCCAGGAATCTCATTTTAAGAAATAGTGGATTGGAGAATATGAAGTATAAAAATTGTTTTCACAGTTGACCTGAGTTGCTAATAAACAATTTGCTATATATTTACTATTTTTTTCACATTTTGTAAGTCAGTGTCCTAATAGCTAGGTATAAGTGTAGGCTAAAATGGCAATGTTCAGGATACATCCTTTAAGGGTGTAATATTATTACATACATCTGTCTCCTTTCTCATTTACATATTGTGCAGCTTTTTTTGTCCCTTTCTATACTATTCCCCCTTTTATTAAAAAATGGAGCAGACACATGATTAAAATGAGGACCAGGTCAAGTTTGCATTTAGCTAAGTATTCTTCCCCTTTATTTCCCTGTCTTGGCCAGCTTACTGTCATTCCTCTTTTTCCCTTTGTTCTTTTGTCTGTCTTTTCCCCTACCAGTCCATGTTCCATCTTTCCTCTACGTTGTCTCTCCTTTGTGACCTCTTTCTGTGGCCATTTCAGTGGGCATGAAGGGAAGGGGTGGTCACTGTAAACCTTGCCAATCCATATTTCTCTCTCCACAGCCAGGTGGTGGTGTAGAAAGTTAGTAAAGAATAAAAACCTACACAAGTCTTCTATTATATTCTGGTGTGCAAGTGTGGGGTTAATAGAACTGAATAAAATGATTTTTAACTAAAACTCAGAGTCCACAGGTAAGAGGGAGAGAGGTCTGGACAAAAATTGTACAAAATTTTGTTGGTGAATGATAGTCTCTGTAGGGGAACGCTGTGCAAAATGAGTCTTAACTGATTTAGAATATAGCTGGACATTCTTATCAAGTTAACTGTCCACTGTTTTGAATCACAGGGGCTAGGATAGGATTATTTCTTTTTCTTTCATGTTTCGGATTTCCTTCTACCTGCGAAAATATTAGCTTTCACTCAAGAATCCTCTCCCAGGCAGAAAGAAGGAAAGAAAGTCTTGCTAGAGGAGAAATCTTATTAAGGCTCATGGTGATTCAGGAGTGACAGCCGGGGCTTTTTCAATGGACTTATCTGCTGTCACAGAGACCCACTATCCTGGAAGAGCCCAGGCAAAGTCTGAGGGTTTTGACCATCAAAATGAATGACTGCAATATGTTTTGAATTGCACAGACAGGAGGAGAAGTGATAGGTATTCTTTATGGAAAATCACAAAGAGAAAGAGCTAGCAATCTTCAAGCCTTTTTATCTTCATACCAAAAACAATATGAATACTTTCTATGGAGAAAAATTGTGGCAGCAACCTGAGCTGAACATAACTACAAACAGAAAGGATATCCCCTCCTACAGCCCTCAGAGTCATCTGGCATTTTGCTTATCCTGCCCCTGAACTCAAGACTCTTTTATATTATAGAGTTCTTTTAGGAAATATTTATTTCTTGAACTTCCCCTTATTTTTTAGGGTATCTCCCCATCTTTTTGCCCCAAGAGCCTGAATCACTTGAGCAAGATATAATATCCATGTAGATAAGATGATAAAGGGATTCCTTATATCAAGGAGTCAACTAAAAGTTAATCCCTGTGAAACACAGAAACCCACCACAAATGGTAAAATCCCAAGAAAAAGTTTTGAGTTTTGACCAAAGAGCTAATTTCATTTCCCACAAGTGCAAAACTTTGGATGTATTTATATCAGCTGACTACTATATCTTTTCTCAAACTCCAAAGCCCACATAGCTGATATACTCTTGTCAACTGATATTGTTTCCATGTTACAGATCAGGAAACGGAGGCTATTCAAAGTTACTGTATATGCGTTGTCTAAGTGCTATTTGTATACTTGTTTATCACTCCTTTGATCTGCCCCATTGAGGTAGACAATGATTCTTGCTACTTCTTGGCTCTCCTATATACCCAGGGCTATCCTGTCTCATAATAGAAGCTTGATAAATATTGTCAAACTAGATCATATGCTTTGTTTGAGTCCTCAAGGGGAGACAATGAAATAGCTGGGGCTAGACCCTCCTCTCTCTCTCAGACATCTTGAAATGCAGTCAGGACGTAGCGGTGCTGAGCCCATTATAAGACCTCAATAAATACCTGTCAATGGCTTGACTGAAGGACTGATTCAAGACTATCATATTCTTTAGTACTTGTCTCATGTACTTCAACAAGGACTTTAGACTAAACTGATTTGATTGGTTATATTTTTAGACTTGTTACTTCTGTTTTGACAGAAAGAATAGACAATACGACTACAAGCATAGTGACCTTCTGGATTTGTTCCTGTGGATAATCTTAAGATAATTTGAAGGAAGTTTCTTAACTTTTTAAAGGCACAGGTGTCAGAAGTGACAGGCTTGATAATTAGTCAGCATTACCCCCTCACTCCTTTTAATGTTGTTTCTCACGCTTTGCATTGGTTACTAGTCAATCTGGGTTGCAGTTCTGATTTAGATGTCACCGTACTCTGCTTTAAAGGTTATTTTGGATCTTTGCCTGTCTTTGATGTGTTCTAGTACCCATCTTCCTGTCTCCATCCCCAGCATCTGAGAACACTTCTCATTTCCCCACTAGATTGTTTTTTTAAATTTTTGAGCATGCTCTGTTTTATTTTCTGATTATGAAGGGCATTTCTAGTAGTCCTGGGAAGAGTGAGCTCACAAAAAGACAGCTAGAGAACTAGTGATCATGACTATTATCACATCAAGACTTTGGCTTAAGCAAAACAGAACAACAAAACCCCAAAAAACCCCACAAAACTGGGAAGTGCTTAGAGCCCCTTCTACGTGACTCTGTCTGCATCTGCAGTAGGAAAGTTTACATTTACTGTTAATCTGCTGTTCAACTTTTTGGGAATGAATTAGCAACTCTTAAATTTCTCTCCATTTCCTATTTCTAGTAATTAGCTCAGTGTCACAGCTAAGGTTTTCTTACTGACTTCAGCATGGAGACTTAGCAGTTACGGAAAGGAGAGGCTAGAGCTTTCCACCAACTGCATGTCACTGGTGACTCCAAGAGAGAATCCAACAAATCAACTACTAATAATCCTTACTATTTAAACCGTGTTCACTATTATCCAATAACTTGGCTCTCAGTTATATCTTCTTAAGAATTCTAATAAGGCATTTAGTTTATACAAAGGAGGAGTCTGATCTATGCAGTGGACATGAGAGACAACCAAAGTTTTGTTCCTCTTTCCAATGGCATAGAGAAAAAAATAAAATTTAGGCAGAATTAGAATTCAGAATGCCTGGGAGTTCCTCCAGCCTTGGGAAATTCCAGGTGAGAGGGGAGGACTCTGGAGCTTTTTAAAAAGACCCTAGAGTTCATTTTACCCAACAATTTTATTTCATAAATGAGAAAACTGAGGCCTAGAGAAGTATGGCTTACCAAGGTTACAAACTAAATTATGGCAGTTTTAGCTCATGGCTTATGTTAGCTAGACTGCTGGTTCGATTTTTCAGTGGAAGCCTCCTTTTGAAGAAGGGCAAGCCATTCATTTTTCAGCATAAACCAAGGGATGCTCTTACACACACACACACACACACACACACACACACACACACACACACACAGAGAGAGAGAGAGAGAGAGAGCAAAAAAAGAATAGCCATCATAAAGATACATTTCTGTTCTGGATTCAAGAGGCAGAATTATTAATACAGGTAGACTGCCAGGAATGCAGAATGTTAATGCAGCTGCGGAATAATACACTAGTGCCACAGAGTTTAATAATAGATAATGACAAATAATACAGTTGGGGAATTGTGTAATTCAATAACAGAGTAAATGACAAGGAAACACACACACCAATGAATGGTTCTAGTGGGGACGCTTAGGTGTTTTCAATTTAACTTACCTCTCCAGCCCTTTGGCCTACTACCCTTTTGAGAGGCAGGCAGGACATGCAGAGATGTGCCCAGCTGGGGTTTTTAGTTTGTGCAGTGAAGTTGCAGGTTTCAGGGGCTGAGTCAGGAAGTATGAATTGTGCTCCTGGGCAGTTATCAGCTGATCCCTTTAATGCATGTATTACTTTCCTCCATGTCATGACTGGATAGTTTCTTTTTTTCTGGGGGAGAGGGGGCCTAGAATTGTCCCAGGTTGGCCATTCTCTCCTATTACCCACTCTGTAAATCACTGCATATGAGGGAGTGGTACTGGAACATGGAGCTTGAAGATGGGAAGAGACTGGGAGTTGGGGTTTGGGTTTAGGGTCATAATGGGAGGTAAAAGGTTTAGCCACAGCTATGGTTTAGTAAGCATACCAGTGATCTGGTGTGTACTTCCCTGTCCTCAGCTGCATTAGAGAAAGGCAGCCGCTGATCACTGTTAGACCTGTATTCTTTCTCTAAGAGAATGGGATATTTCCCTCTCATTCTTTTAAAATAAGATAAAAAGCAAGGGGTGGGGAAATTAATTAATGTCAGTAAATGAAGCATGAGACACTTGTCCGGATATGATAATGACTGTGAATTAGTGCAGAATAAATAAAATGGTATAAAAAATGAACCTTGCCAGCACACTCCTTTGGGATGGGCTCAGTCACCCTTATAATGCATTAACTCTTCCCTTGCCTCATCCTTGGTCCTGTCTATGTTACTGTGTCAAAGCTCCCCCACTGCAGAGTCTCAAGGCTACAGTATTATAGCCTGAGGTGCCCAAAGGGAGCCCTGGCTCCAGGAGAGATTGAGCCAGCTGGTGACTGCATACTTTATAATGTAAATAGAATAACTTCACATCTATTTATTAATAAAACCACACTAAAAAGAAGCAATTGTGTGTCCCCCGGTTGGGAGATTCAAGAAGGCAGACAGAAAGCCACTGGAGGAAGAAAAAGGGATAAGTTCCTCAAAATAAGTTGCTCCCTTTCCCCCAGAGCCAAAGTTTACCTTTGTGCTGCTGGTAAGTTATCTACCTCCCCTCTCTACTTTTCTGTAAGGGCCCCAGGCTGTATGTCTTTTATATCGTCTTCAGATGACTACAATAAACACACACTAATTGGGCACTTCCTGTGTCCAAGCACTGTAGAATAAACAGAGAGAAATAAAGCAATCTCCATTTTCAAGTTTTCTCCTTTAAGGGTGTGGAGTAGTGCTTGACATGTAGTAAATGCTCAACAAATTGTTGCTATTACATCAGCATTGTTTCACTGAATTTAATCCCTATGAAATTTTCACTGAAGACAAGTTTGAGAGATTCAGAGAGCCCTTGGCCACTTTATTTTCTTTACTTTTGTTTCTTTGCTTTCCTTTTCTCCTTCATTTTCTTATCTCTTCTATGTTTCAAAGTTCTTAGATTATTGGCAAAGCAAATGCAAAGAACATGGTTATAATAACCTTTGAATGTTAACACTTAAGAAATTATTTGCTATTAACAGAAACTCAATGCAGTGTAGTCACCAAATATGAATCACTGAATTCAGAAATGTTATTAATTCACACTACAGTATGGGCAGGTAGACAAGTGTCGGAATACTAGTTTAGAGTTGTTTGATGACAGCTTATATCTTTTTGTATTCTCATCAGTGGTGACTATATTTGCAGAGTGATTTGGAAATAATAACAAAAGATTGAATTTGTAATGTTTGGTATTTTCTTAAAATACTCTGGAACCACAACAAAGAGAGGGCTGGATGAAACCATGTGGACAATTATTGTTGAAGCTGAGCAATAGGCTTATGGTGGTACTTACTATTTTTGTGAGTGTTTAAATACTGCTATAATAAGGAAGGCTAAAGTGTTGAGGGATCCTTTGGGAATGTAAGCCTGGATGAATGACCTCCTGGGGCCTACCTTTTTCCTGCCCCTCCAAGTCCAAGTTGGGAGGTAGATGGTGAATGTTTTACATTCCTGGTGTGACTCAACATAACCTTTTAAGGACAGTGTTAACATGAGATGCCTCCTGTTCCTTTGGGAGGTCTGTAATTTTTCTCAGAAGGCTAACTTATAGTCCAGGTATGTGTGCACTCTGCCCATTCAGTCTTTGCCTTTGGTTTTTCTTTGATCTGGAGGATCATAGGAGGCAAGTGTGGAAATACTTCTTCCTGGAGACAATGGCAGAGGAGAGTCCGTGTATAGAAATTGATTTGTTAACCCTTGCGATGGCCTCCCTCTCCCACCCTGGGATGGTGGAAGAGATGCCACTGAGAGCCTGGGCTTGTCTGGTGAAAGAGTGGGCTTAAGGAAAAAGCAACAACAGGATCACAAATGAGACCCTAAATCTGGTTTTTTCCTTGTCCTCAGTAGCTTATTAGAGATAACTACATCACATAAGCTCTGTCCATGACTGTGAACTTTTATGGTTTTGTCTATTAGAGGGTGATGTCAGAGGCTGTTATCACTGGCATTAATGATTTATTTGGGCACAGGTAGACTTATAAAAGTAGGTGGGGGTATTGATTATAGTCATGGGCCAATGAGATTCTGTTTCATTTCCTAACCACCAAACAGATGTAAAGGACTTCTGTGTGCAGACCTCAAGATTACACAGCAAAGGGGCTTCCAAAGGAATTTACAATTTGAATGAGACCTATAAGAATCAAGAGGTGCCCAAGAGCAGACGTAGGCCTGTATGTCCCCATATGGTTGAGTTTTGATAATCCTTCATTTCCAGTCACTGCTATGGTCTGGCTGACCTTCTGAATGTACCCAGTATTGGCTGGCTTTAGATCTATGATATGAGCTATTTTTTTACTCATTAAAGTGTTTAAATTTCTGTGCTTAGTTTCTCAGATGACTTTTTTTTCTGTGTGGAATCTGGTTGATATTTTTGGAGAATAATTTAAATCAGTTCTAATTCCACCCTGAAGAGCTCCTTTTGACACACAAGTGGCTTTGTGTCATTGCAACTCTGGAGGAGGCCAGGGCAGGCTTCCTGGGTGCTCAGAACACTGGCTGCCCTTGGAATTATGGCTTTATCTCTGGGGGATAGTACTTCAAGAAAAAATGCCAAGGAAATGTTTGTCTTAGTGTATTTTTGTCCATTTTGCCTCAAAAAAGATTTGTCCTGCCCAGGAGCAGTGGCTCACACCTGTAATCCCAACACTTTGGGAAGCCAAGGCAAGTGGATCACTTGAGGTCAGGAGTTCAAGACCAGCCTGGCCAACATGGTGAAACCCCGTCTCTACTAAAAATACAAAATTAGCCAGGTGTGGTGGCATGCATCTCTAGTCCCAGCTACTCAGGAGGCTAAGGCATAAGAATCGCTTGAACCCAGGAGGCAGAGGTTGCAGTGAGCTGAGATCATGCCACCACACTCCAGCCTGGGCCACAAGAGTGAAACTCCATCTCATAAATAAATAAATAAATAAATAAATAAATAAATAAATAAATAAATAAAGATAGATTTGTCCTGAAACTTAAAGAATAAAGACTCGGTAGACATGGAATATATTTTTTTTCAAATTTCAAAATGCAAAAGAGAATACAGGTAAATACTTGTATTTACTTCATAAATGCCCTATTTTTCACAGGGTGTATCAGTGTGCTTTGGGCTGCCATAGTAAAATAGCACAGGCTGGAGGACTTGAACAACAGAAATTCATTTTCTCACAGTTCTGGAGGCTGTAAGTCTAAGACCAAGGTGCCAGCAGGTTTGGTTTCTCCAAAGGCCATTCTCTTTGGCTTACAGATGGCCATCTTTTTCCTGTGTCCTCACGTGACTTTTCCCCCATGTGTACATCCCTGGTATTTCTTCATTCCAAATTTCCTCTTGTTATAAGGATACCAGTCACACTGGATTAGGGCTCACTCTAATGACCTCATTATAACTTAATCACCTCTTTAAAAATCACCTATCTCCAAATACAGTCACATTCTGAGGTCCTGAAGGTTAGGGCTTCAACCTATGAATTTGGGTAGGAGGCAGGGACACAAATCAACTCATAACACAAGATGAGGAATATTGTTAAATGATAAAAACAAAACACTTGATCCCTATGATCTAAAGCCCTGCTCTGCAATTCTAGAGATTGCTTTAGAAGTTTGCATTTAGGTATAGTCGTAACATCCTAGAAATTAATTTAGAAAGCTGCTTTTACATTAAAAATCAAAAAGGTGAGCAAAAAGAATCATGGCTCTGTAAATTTTCTTTTATTTTGATATTTCAGAGGACATTATTACTATTACTAAAATATTGTGGGTGGGGGGAAGGAAAGTTGGGAGTAGGATGAGAAAGAATCAAGTGTTGAGGGAAATTTTTCATGTTTGTTGGAGGAAAAGAAAAGACATGAAAGGAAGAAAGATGAAAGAAAGAGGGAGATGGAGAAATAAGGCAAAAGAAGAGAAGAAGGAGAAAGAAAGGAGGAGGAGGATGAAGAAGAAGAAAGGGGAGGGGGAGGAGAAGGGAGGAGGAGATAAAGGAGGAGAGGAGAAGAAATGAAGAGGGAATGGGAGGGGAAAGGTGGAGTGGGGAGTGAAGAGGAGAAGGGGGTGGAGGAAAGAGATGAGGAAAGGGAGAGGTAAAGAAGAGAGAGAAATTAGTGTAGGTAGCACTTACCATGGATTGAAAAAGAGAGTTCACGCTTTTCCCTCTCTTAGGAAACTCCCAGCTGCTTCTAAGAAAATAAGAGTGACTACATCAGAGAGATGCAAACAGGAAGAGAAAGTAAATGGAGGCCCTGGAGAGGGAGAGCTTGGGTATTGAGGTTTGGTGTGGATAGCTGAGAACCATCCAACATTAATGAGCACAAATGTGTGCACAGGCTGAAAATGTCTCTCCAGGGACGCTGATGACTTGAGCTTTGTGTGTGCCATTGGAAATCATGAATGAGAAAATAACTGACTCGCTCTCTCAGACAATCTGGTTTATGGACCTGAAGCTCTTATTTGCTGTCAGGTTGTTCATCTCCACGCCTCTGTGAGATATTATTGAAACAGAACCCAGCACTGTCCTCCTTGCCAAAGTGGTTGACGTTGGCCTTAACTTTCCCCAGTTCTGAGACAGGGACAGACTGGCTAATGTAAGTGTGCCCTGTGGATGTGCAATTTAGAGGGAGGAATGGGAAAGTATGTTGTATGCAGCTAGGGACGCACACACAGAGGATATTTTCACTGATTCCTCTCTGTGGGCATAACTACTGTCTTGAAGGCCTTTGCTTTTCTGGTTTTATGATTTCCAAGCCTCTTTCCTGAATCTTAGAAGTCAAAACTCAAGCTAAGCTGCAACAGAAACTTCATCTTTTCTCAGAATAAAATCTATTTTCTTCCCCTTCCCATGGTAAACAAATTATGTTGACAGACAAATGAGGGATTAGGTGAGGAAATTTGTGATTTTGGAAGCTCAGGGAAGCAGATGTCAGGATTCAGCTGAGAGGGAAGAATTTGGGCGGGGTGGGAGGCTACATGGAGAAATCAGAGGCAATCAGGAGGTGCTGTCCAAGATGAGGCATGGTGGTGAGATGGATAAAGAAGCAGTTTCTAAGATGCCACTCAAGAGCTCTCTGGAGATTTACAGAGAGCTGGACTTTTTTTTTTTTTTTTGAGACAGAGTCTCACGCTATCACCCAGGCTGGAGTGCAGTGGCACGATCTTGGCTCACTGCAACCTCTGCCTCCTGGGTTCAAGCGATTCTCCTGCCTCAGCCTCCTGAGTAGCTGGGACTGCAGGCACATGCCACCATGCCTGGCTAATTTTTGTATTTTTAGTAGAGATGTGGTTTCACCAAGTTGGCCAGAATGGTCTTGATCTCCTGATCTTGTGATCCACCCACCTCGGCCTCCGAAAGTGCTGGGATTACAGGTGTGATCCACCACACCCGGCCTCCCAAAGTGCTGGGATTACAGGTGTGATCCACCACACCCGGCCTGAGTTTTCTAAACTTCTGGGTAAGGCTGTTTGACTTTGGACATGACGCTAGGCTTAACTGAGCCTCTATTTTACCTTATGCACAGTGGGCATACTCCTTACCTTACTTACTTCACAGGTTGGCTTTGAAAACAAAATCATATAGGAAAAATATTCTGAATATGCTGAAGAGCCAGAAAACATAGTATTATCACTTTCTTGGTTTTGCTGTACCCATGTATGAATCTTTTCTGCAGCATCCCTGCTGCATGCTTGTTTCTATGTCCCCATGTCCTGCCTCAGTTGAATGCATCTGGTGGTGGGGAGCTTACTACCCTTTAAGGAAAGTCATTGTTTAAAAACATGTATATATAATTTTTAATTTTTACAGAAAAATGTTTGCATTGAGCCCAAGTCTGCCTAATAATAATAGCAGTAAGCTAACTCTCATGTAAGGTATACTCTGCAGCAGACCCACTTTGGGAACTTTACATATATTAACATTTATTACATTTATTATTCTTAGCCACCCTATAAGGTGGGTACTGTTATTATTCCGATTTTACATGCAAGAAAACCAAGGCACAGACAGAGTAGGTAACTTGTCCTAGGTCACGGGGTAATAATTTTTACCTGCTGGCTCTTGTTTTTCTGTCCATAGCTGACCCAAAATATTTGATGACCGGTATTTTGTCCTCTTTGAGTGCTCCCTTTGCCGGTCTACCATCTCCTTTCCCTTGCTTTCTTCTGCATGTGCCTCCTTCTGAAGTTTTCCCACAGCAGGCCCCACTCTCCAAGGGTGTTTCGACCTATTCAGAAAAGAGTTGCATTGCTGGGTCCCCTTGGACCTGCTGCTGCCGGTCGGCTGGGAAGAGTTATAAAGAAGAAAGGACATTTTCAAGCTAAGCTCTCCTGGAAACTGGTAGGATGGCGTGAGCTGGTCCACAGGCCCCAGCTGCCAGATGATGGGAATTGGGATCAGCTGTGACCTAATTATGAGTCTCGTAAACCTGCATTGTGCCCTTCATTTTCCAGCTCATTGACCACTCAGAGGGGGAGGGAAAAGGGATGAGATTCTGGTCAAGTCCTTCCTGCCACTACCATGTGGCCAAGGTCACAGGCCAATGATGTCCAGAGGGAGTTGGGGCAGGGGATGCGCTCTTTGTCTTCTCTGAATGAAGCGAGCGAGGAGTGAGGCAGAGAGGAAGGAAGATTTGCAGACAAGCAAGCCTCCCAGGAGCTTGTTGGATTGGAATGTATTCTCAGGTCTATTGTAGAGACAGAAATTCCAGATTTAGCATTCTGTCATTGTCAGAATAACAAATTAATATGTCTTATGCCCACACAACTACATATACGCAAATATACAGGCATGAAACGGAATATCTGGCAGATATCATGTATTTTATAACTCTTTGGGGACAAAGACTGTGCTGAGAATTCATTTTTATACTGATAGAGAACCCCAGCTCCCCACCTCCAAACCAAACACATAATCTCCACATCACATAGATGTGGGCGATTCAAATTGCTTTCTCCTGTCAAAAGGTAGCATCTATGAATCACTAAGTAGAGTCTATGAAATTCTCAGTTGAGAATGTGTCTATAAAATTTCCTCCTTTCTTACCTTTTTAAATAAAATTACTAATTTCTCTCTCAAATCTGACTGTGGAAGCCTTAGGACTAGTGGGATATTGCAGAAAGAATGTGACGTTTGGGACCAGGAAGGTGCTGAGATTCGGATTCCGCCTCTGCTGCTTACCATGTGGGCAACGCTGACTCTGGGCAAGTTACTTAGCTCTCTTAGCCTCTGTTTCCTCATGAGTCAAAACTGGGAATAAATAATAATAACCTTTTAGGGTTGTTTTATCTCTATGATTAAACAAAATAATAGATATGACATACATTATGGGTCTATCACATGATAAACGCTTAAGAACAGAGACTCCTTTTACTTTCCAGTTATCCAAGGTATAGAGTATGAGAGGGGCAGGTGGCTGTGCAGTGGTACATCTTAGTGCATAATCTCTAGATTTTTGGATTTTTTTATATTGAGAAGTGGACTGCCAAAATTTTTGTTAAATGAAAATATTTTAAAAATAATTACCGTCAATTAACATTATTTCATAAAAAAGACATTCTAACATTCTAAAGAAAGCCTTCAAAGGAGTGTGTGAAAATTAAATAAGATCGTGCATATAAAGTACTTAATAGTTTATATTAGTTCCTAGCTTTGATAAGCATTTTAAAAAGCACTAGGTATAGTTTTTAGATATATTAGTTTTAGTATTGGTATAGTATAAATGTTACCATACCAAGAATCAAGTCCAAAATCTCTAACATGACATATAAATGGGTGTTCACACACACATAAGCCATTTGTACCCCACAACCCCAGTATAAAGCTATTTACAGATACACTCTACTCCAGCCAGGGGTCCCAGATATAAACACTTGTAGGGGCTGGGTGGATAATATCATTAAGTAACATAGATAGCAGGTAAGAAAAACTCTGACGTGGTGTTAGTCTGTCTTTTATCCTTCATTGTTGTTTTAAACATGGATTCAAGCTCTGAATAATAATAAGAGCCAACATTTATAATGGCAAAGAAGAATATCATCTTGCTATGTGTTCAAGCTAAGCATATGTTTATGTGTAAGCATAGCTTTGCCAAGTATAAAAACTAGTTTGGAAATCCTGTATGGACTCAATCAGCTTAATTTTTACATTTTTAACCCTCTGATTTTGTCTTTATGTTTATCTTCACCAGTTCTGGTTCTGCATAGAAAGTCTTTAGAGGAATGTACCCTTTCCGATAATGCTTCCAGATCCAAAGGATGCCTCGAAAGTGACCAGGAATTGCTACAGATGGTTGACTTTTACCCAGTTGCCAACGTTCTTCTGGGGATGCTGTGCGTTTTGTGTCCTCATCCCAACTCCTAGCCACTTCAGGTTTTTATAGATGATCTTCAGACAAAAATAGATTAAGAATTAGCCAGGAGGGGTCAGGCATTGTGGCTCATGCCTGTAATCCCAGCACTTTGGGAGGATCAGGTGGGTGGATCACCTGAAATCAGGAGTTCAAGACCAGCCTGGCTAACATGGTGAAACCCTGTCTCTATTAAAAAAAAAAAAAATTAGCCAGGCATGGTGGCACGTGCCTATAATCCCAGCTACTTGGGAGGCTGAGGCAGGAGAATCACTTGAACCTGGGAGGCAGAAGTTGTACTAAGCCAAGATCGCGCCTTTGCACTCCAGCCTAGGCAACAATCGTGAAACTCCATCTCAAATAAATAAATAAATAAATAAATAAATAAATAAATAAATAAAAAGAATTAGCCAGGAGGAATGACAAATAGATTTCATCTTTGGACTACCCTCTTTAGGGGAAAGTTGTGGTTCTTCATCCTGCTGGTATTTAATGGATTCAGCTTCATATAGGGGATACTAGCTTGGAAGGGGAGATACTTAGAGAAAAAATGACTTTCAGTGCTATAGCAAAAAGGAATTTAAAACATTTCAAAAGCCCCCAACCTCAGTACATTCCAAAGCAGGATAAAATAAATACAAACAAAAAATCAACACCTACACCAAACCAGGCTAATATAAAACAAAACCTACTTAAGGTCCAGATTTTTTTGTCCCAGCATTTAAAAACAGTGCCAGCATGGACTGAAGTAAACACGCTGCAATGATTTCTCAGCTTGGGAAACTGTCCTTTCTTATATGTGAGATGCCTACAGAGGAAGCAGAAAGATAGTAATTTCTTTCCCTTGCTTTTCTGGGAGATGGATCTCAGTGTTTTTGTCCCTTGGTCCTAGCCATTTTAAAGAGACTGCTGCCAGAAGAACCACTTAGCACAATTGTGAAAACCTAGTCCCCATCCATAGCAGAGATGCTTTCCTTTAAGCTGTACTTTTTGAGATATTATTGACATCAATATTTGTTAAAACCAACCTTCGTGGAGCTGTTGCTATGTAAAATATATTACACTTAGGTCACCAAGTCATTAGTCCAATATAGGTATTTGGAAGTTGGTTTTTAGTCATTCTCTTTAATTCAAATGGAATTAGGGTCAGAAGAAATGTTCAAGTCCTAATCACTTAGAAACCCATATTTGGCGTGTTTTGTTGCTTGGGTAAAGGGAGTAAGACCTCATGGCTTGAAAGAATCCTACCAGAGGTGTTTTGTTTTTTTTTTTGTCTGATTTCCTTTTTCAAACTTGATAAGGGAGTAGGCAAAAAATGTCTGAGTCACCAGAACTGGGGTTTCACAAATGAATGGTCTCGCTGTAACCTAAAGTAAGGGTTGAAGTGGGGGAAGATGAAACAATAGGTGGCTGTAGCACTGGAAGAATATTTGCAGCCCCACAAACTAATGTCTGAATTACTTAGGATACATCCCTCTGTCTAGAGCCAGCCCAAAAAAATATGTGATTCCTGCCCTGATTCAGATAGAGATATCTCCAGGCTACTTACTATATGTATTTATTATGAAGTACATGAATAAATCGCCACCCAAATACAGTAAATGCATTGGTATTAAAAATTAACACAGACTTTTTGTTGTCTGTCATCCCATCATTTTCTCTTTAATGAAATAACGGTCTGGAATACCACCTAATGGCCTGAGATGCCTCAGAGTGAGGTGTGTTTTTACCAATTCTTTAACTTAATCAGACTGGCCTCTTGATATGGGGCCAGGTTCTTCTGAGTAACTCACTCTGAAGAAAAGCAGGATGGATTGATTCATGGAATATGGAAGTGTTTGCCTAGTGGGCTTCTTTTCAAAAGCTCAAGAACTTTTTCTAAGGTCCCTGGTGTACCCTGGGGAAAAAATATTCTTGACTTTTTTTTTTTTTTTGTCAAACTGTTTGTATATGTGGGGTGTGTGTGTGCGTGCGTGTGTGTGTGTGTGTGTGTGTGTGAAGTTGCATGTTGGTACATACTTGAGATGTCACTATAGCTTTTCTTGCCATTTTTCATTCCATTTCTACTGGGATGAGCAAAATTGACAGCTTCTAGACATCTGGAAAGAGGCTTTTGATCTTAGGAAGTGAAGTACATAATCATGGCCAATTTTACCTATGAGGAAGATAACTAAGTGGTTTCTCAAATGCCAGAATAAAAAAATGACTTCTTGTTTTTCAAAACAAGGCATAGAGATCCCAATAGCAACACAGAATGTTTCTGTGTATCAGAGCAGAAAAAGGGGAATTGAGGTAGCATTGGTTGAACACACACTATGTGCCAGGCTTTACACTAATTTGCTTGAATAATTTAAGTGAGTAACAGAACAATGTTTCCACTAAGTTGCAGCAAAAACTACACATCTTAGACTTTCCTTAGTGACATCTCGAATCTTCAGGGAAGGTGGGGGGTGAATAATTGAAATAACTCTTGATTTCTTATATTAGGGACCAGGAATATGCCCTTGATAGGAAATCTGTCATTTGGAGGTCATTTTGGCCCTTTCTGGAAGAAAAGGAGACATTGAGTGCTTTGAGGTTCCAACATCACCACATACCAGTTAGTGAAGGTGACAGTCTTCTGGATCTCTGACCAGCACCAGGGCTGTTGGCCCTTGTTGCTGCCCCCATCAGTCTGAACAGACTCTTTTCCCAAAGAAATTTGCTAAAATGACAAATCAGTTATCACTGTCTATTAGGACATCCACTGCATCCATCTATCCTAATATCTTCCTCACGTATGCCTCAGCGGCATGTTTTACTTCTATTTACTGGTACCACAGTCTTAGCAAAAGTAGCACATTGATTATAGGAGTTGTGAAGCCTTGAGCCCTGACAAATGGGGACCACATTGAAGAAAATGGAGGGACAAGATACTAATACAATTTCCATTAATGACCTGGATAGAGTCCCCAGGCATTGCTTATGTATTTAATTTTTATTCTGATTATTTTTAACATTGTAGGCAGAATGCCAGAACGCCAACCATCTTAGCTTCTTCAACATTATACAGTGAAAGCCAGAGGGGAAACCTAACTCATCAGATCATAGTTGACATTGGGGGAAAAAAATAAAGGTCAGCCTACAAAATTTCTTCAGACTTTGATTAATACAGTTGTAGATTTGAAAAAAATGTTTTATTTGAGTTTTCTTCCTACATATTTTGAGTTTGGATGTAAAATATTTTCTTTTGAATTTGGAAGACCACTTCTCTAAGAATGGAGAGTTAATTAGATGATTTTCTTTTCTTTCTCATTGGAAATGTAAACCGTGTTCATTTATTCAACAAATATTAATTGAGTGTCTGCTATGTGCCAGACACTGTTTTAGGAACCTGGAATGCTTTCAGGAACAAAAAGAGAGGAAAAAATATCCTTCCTTTTGTAAAGTTTACATTTTAGTAAAAGGAGAAAGAGGCAATGCAATAAACATTACAAGTAAATTCCTTTTATAGTATGTTAGAAGATTATGAGATTATAGGAGAATACCAAGCTGAGCAGGGTAAGAGGATAGAGGTGCTGAGTAGGAGGATAGGTGAATCCAAAGATGAAGGGGTTGGTTATGTCGTTATTTGGGGAATATAAGGCCAGTACGTCTGGAATGCAGGGAAGAGGGAGAAGTTAACTACTGGGAGCCAGAGCATAGTAGGTCTTTTTGGCCCCTGAAGGACTCCAACTTGTACTTTGAGTTAAAATGGGAGCCACTGCAGAGTCTTGAGCAGTCTTAACTCATGTGACTAGCATGAGTTAACTTGAGTCTTAAGATGCTTGTGTTGGCCTCTGTAATGTACCAAGAACAGTTTCTTGCCCTATGATTCCAGTTTTCGATAAGTTATGCCATCACTTGCTGCAAAACAGACCTCACCCACCATGACACTGGGCCAGTGGCTATTTATTCCTGATGAGGCATTGTAGGATCTAGATCAAACTACTGTTTCTTCCAAGCTTCCTGATTGCACATTTTCATGGAAAAATGCAAGGGTATGTGGTGCCTAGGAAAAGGACAGTAGAAACGGTAATACATTTTACTCTTGAGCATAAGTTTTGATTAACTTTGTCATTATTTCAAGCCAATATAGCCACAAACATAATTGGTGGTTATGAAATTATGCAATCACACTGTCTGAGGCCTCATTACCCTTTAACTTATAAATCTGCCTTGCCATCTTTCCATGATCCTCTTAAAGAATGTACCTACCCACCACCTACATAATAAAAAAAGCCACAAGCCCCAGCCTTGGGGGAATTGTATTGATTTATAAAGAGAGAGGCTATCACTTGCTGTTCTCATTAACCTGGAAATAGACACCACATTTTATCTGCTGCTCTGTTTCCTGCTGTAGATCTGTGTAGTAAATCCATTAATCTGTCTGTCCATTCATCCATCCATCCATCCATCCATCCATCCATCCATCCATCCATCTATCCATCTGTCCACCCATCTGTCTTTCCATCCAAATTTCCATTTTTAAAGGGACTATTTTGTGTCAAGTGTCATACTGGGAGGCAATATATTTCATGGTTAGATATATAGGCTGTATGTAGCCTCAGACTGTCTGGAATTAAATTCTGCCCATTACTTTAGCTATATGACCTTAAGTAAGTTTTGTTATTTGAGCCTCAGCATCTTCCTCTGTAGGATGAGAATGGTAATCAAATGTATCGAAGAGTTGTTATAAGGATCACAAAGTTAATTAATTCAAGTCCTTTTCATTTTGTCCCGGAGGAATAGTTTTAGTAGTTTGAGTTTGCATTCAATCATCTCCCCTTTCGCTTTTTCATCAGTTTATTCCTTTGCAGTTCATCCAGCAGCCTATCAAGGACCTAGTATGTGTTAAGTATTATGGAGACGGGGATATTTTTCTGAGAAATGGAGGCTGTAGGTGTGTCTCTAGCACCTAACACAGTGCTTGGCACATGGACAATGCCCTGTATATATTTCATGGAATGGGTGCAACTCCCTGCCCTTGAAAAGTGTTCAGTGTGTCTGTAGAAGTCCAGTGCCAGATGGGAGTGTCACTGGTGCAGTGAGCCAGGGACAGGGAGCAGAGAAAGAACAATTGAGAATATCAGAGGGAGATGATCCTCCGGCTGCTTCTGCTGGCCTGGACATTTGAAGGGATTTCTTACTGGGACTGGCTCTTTTGTTCTGTGGTTTGTATTTCTGCCTTTGTGCGAATGACTTGTCTGACATTTCTGGGACTCCATCCTGATATGCAGGCCAGACAGGTGGGATCCCAGTAGGGAACTAGGTATGCCTTTCTGTGTATTCCAGGAAGAGTTTAACCTTGGGCAGACAGGGCTAGTCTTTTTGACTTTATGGTATGTTTAATATCAACACCTGGTTGGGGGTAGGGATAATAAATGTTTGGCTTACAGGACTTGCAGCTTTGCAAGATACAGTGGTGGTGCATACACTTATATTTGTTATGACTCATCTTAGTGCAAAGGCAATGGAGTACCTCTAGAAAAATTGCACATTTAAGGGGATAATTTCAGTGGTGACTTTAGTGGGTTTTAGAAGCACGTGAGAAGTAAATATGGGGGACTCTGGAGCTAGAATGCCTGGGTTCATAGCTCTTATCTTTTCTTTTTCTTTTTTTTTGAGATGGGGGTCTCACTATATCACCCAGGCTCACCTTGAACTCCTGGGTTCAAGTGATTCTTTTGCCTCAGCCTCCCAAGTAGTTGGGACTGCAGGCATGAACCACTGTGGCTGGTCAGCTCATAGCTCCATCTTTTATTGGTCATGTTACCTTGGGCAATGTTGTTAGCTTCTCTGTACCTTAGTTTTATTGCTGTAAAATGGTTCTAATAATTACAGGCTACCTCATTGGAAGTTGAGAGGATTAAATGAGATGATATATTTAAAGTGCTTAAATTCTTGGCTCATAATAAGCATTCAGTAAATGTGAGCTATTATTTCTCTTTCTCCTCCTCATTTTTAATTTTTTAAATACTACCTCTATTACTATTGTGAATAATGTCATTATAAAGGTGCAACTAGATCATGTTTATGAAGGTAGGTAATTGCCTAGCACAGGCCTGGCACAGATAAGCACTGAGCAAATGTTAGTTTTCTTTCACATGGGTCATTAAAGTCCGTCTGTAAAGTCTCAGGGACTTTCTCATCATTTTCCCTAAACCTAATGCAAGATATTCACATTTCTTTTTGTGCAAAGAACAATCTTAATTCAGCTGATAATCGGGGCCTCCCTTACCTTCCCACTGCTCACTATAACAGAGAACAAGTACTAGCTCATAACTTTTTATGACTTTGTATTGAATTAAAATTATAATGCTTTATTAGTTATCTTTTGCTGTTTAACACATTTCCACAAGCTTGGCAGCTTAAAGCATCACACATTTATTATCTCATAGTTTTTAAGAGTCAGGAATCTGGGCACAGCTTAGCTGGATCCTCTGGTTTATGGTTTCTTACAGGTTGCAATCAAGGTTTTAGCCAGGGCTGAGTTCTCATCTGAAAGCTTGACTGGAGAAGAACCTGCCTCCAAGTTCACCTGGTTGTAAGCACAACTTCATTCCTGGAGTGTTGTGGGATTGAAGGTGTCAGTTCCTAGCTGGCTGTTCACTAGAGGCTGCCCTCAGTTTCTTGCCGTGTGGGCTTTCCCATCATGGCAGCTTCACCAAAGTCATGAGAGAGAGAGGGAGAGAGAGAGACAGAGCCTGCTAACTAGATGGAAGTTGCAATCTTATATAAAGTAATCACAGAATTGATACCCCATCAACTTTGCTGTATTCTGTTTGTTACACACAAGTCACAAGTTCAACGCAAACTCTAAAGGAAGGGATTATGTAAGGATGTGATACCAGGAGGTGGGGACCATTGAGGCTATCGTAGTCTGCCATAGCATGCCTGACCTGTGGGTTGTCTTTTAGATGCTTTATTTTGCCTAATTTTATTTTATTTTTTAACCTCAGTTCAGAGAATTCAATTTATTAGAACAGGTCTGAATGGTACAGAGGTGCTTTAATTATTCAGCAGAATTCTGGAAATTTTAAGTTTTCTAGAAATGTATAGTTTTGCTTTACTTTTTCTCCCCTTATAAATAGAAACCTGTCCTTCCATGAATGAATGCTACAGTTTCAGAGATGCTTTGTTTTTCCCCTGATTGATTGTCAGTGGGCAGTAGCCTCTAATAAAGGGAACAGTTTTAAGTTTCCTTTTCTTCTCAGCTTCTCTGTTAAATGGTTAATGATCTGGAAGCAAGTACTTGGAGGTCCTTAGGGAGCTCCTATTTAAAGGAACACTGTGAAGAGAAGTTGCCTTCTACAGTAAAAAAGTGGGGATGATTAGTCCTCCATTTACATGTTTAGTAAATCTGAATATTTAGACTTCCACGGATACCCCCTGCCAACCCCCGCCAAATAGATGAGCTGAAAGTACAGGATAGTACTCTACATGCATCTGACTGAGAAAGACTTTTACTATCTCACCTTAGGGTCCTAAGAGAAGACAGCTGGATGGTTGCATGGCGGTAGAGGTGTCAGGAAAAGCTCCCTTATAATTATTTTCATTCCTATGTTTCTACTCAATACTATTTAAACTGAAATGGGGCTTCATCTGCTCCTTTGTTTATTCAGCAAATACTTTTGAGCATTTTTTATGATCCAGCTACTGTGCTAGGTGATGGGGTTACAATAAGATACAGTCCCAGCCTTCAAAAACTTATGTGCTCAAACGTTATTCTCCAAATCTTTATTCTGTTTCTCATCTATCATTAATGGGAATAGACAGCTCATTTTTTATTGTTCTTGGAGGCTAGAGAGTACAGGCAAATGCAGATGATCAAGCCTTTCTTATTGCCCCACTCCTAGTTGATTCCCTCTCCCTTTCTTTTACTTATGACATGCAACTTCCACAAAGGCAGTTTATGTTAGTTATCTATGGCTGCATAACAAATTACTGTTGAACTTAGCAGCTAAAGACAAAAACATTTATTATTTCACAGTTTCCATGGAGGAGGAACTCAGGCATACCCTTGCTGCGTCCTGTAACTCAGAATCTCTCAGAAGGTTATCATTGAGGTGTCCCCTAAGGCTGCAGTCATCCTAAGGGTCGACTGGCAAAAGGTCTGCTTCCAAGCTTTCTCCCGGTTGTTGGCAGGATTTAGTTCCTCACTGGCTATTGGCCAGATCCCTCCCTCATTGCCTCACCGTGTGGACCTTTCCATAGAGCGGCCCATGGCATGGCAGCTTGCTTTACTAGAGAGAGCAAGTGGGAAGAGCCAGAGAGTTATAAACAAGACAGAAGCTATAGTCTTTGGTAAGCTAAACTTGGAAGTTATGTCCCATCACTTTTGTTGTATTCTATTCAAAAAAAGCTACTTACTAGGTCTAGCCCACACTCAGGTGGAGAAGGTTATACTTGGGCACAAATACTAGGAGGTAGGGATTGTTGTGAGCCATTATAGAAGTTGTCTACCATGGGCAGAAGGACATTTCAATTCTGGAAGGTATCTGATATGGAGACTCTTAAGGCACAATGAGTTACCCGTGAGCTACCTCTTGTACATTCATAGCTGTCCACCCTTTTTATATTTTCTGTGGTATCAGCACAGAGATTGGGGGCAGGGGGTGGAAGCATGGAATAAGGAATTAGATGCCAAAACTAAGAATTTTATTTTTTACAAAGCGTTATCACATATTAAATCTGGAAAGGACATTAGAGGGCCTTATGCAAATGAATAAACTGGCCTAGAGATCTTCTATGCAGCCCCCCCAGGGTCTGTTCTACTGCAGACCCTGGATCTCCTATAACAGAACTATAACAGAACACTGGATCTCCACAGAAAGCCACAAAGGCCCAGAGATGTGTTCGCACAGATGTCATCATCCCTCTTCTAGTCCCTGCAGGAGCCTCATGGGAGATCACGTGACCAGTATTTCACAGCTCTTTCCCCCAGCACAGAAATATCTGCCGTGTTGAGAGGCCTGTCCATCTCCTAGTCCCTGCTAGAGCCTCATGGACAATCACGTGAACAGTATTTCCCAGCTCCTTCTCCCAGCACAGGAACACCCTGCCATGTTGAGAGGCTCACTCAAGAGCCTCATGATCTGCCTGCTACCTAGCAATAGCTTTGTTACATAGGTTGATTCTGCCTTGTGCCTAGAAAATAAATCATGTTTAGGATTAATAATAGTTTATATAATTAATATATGTGCCATGCTTGAGCCAACACATTCCATCACTTATCTTCAGGCTGGCTGCCTCCTGGGAGCCACTAGGTCTCGAGCTGCAGGCTGAGCATGCTGGGTAACAATGCTATAAGTCTGCTTACTGGACCCAGTCCTACAGCCTATGAATATTCTTTTCTGTATTTGAATAGCAATAGCTGGAGATGCACAAGTCTTGATAAAATAATTTTACATTTGTTATATTCACTTTTTTTCTTGCCTGTCAAAAATGTCAGCTTTTACTCTCTGGCTTGCAATCTAAATGGACCCAATTTTACCTTAGCTACTTTGATATGATATTAGCTGCTTAGGGCAATTGCAAGAAATACCATACAAGGGTTAATCTCCCTCACCCTTCCATTCCTTTGATATGCTGTTGGAAATTTCAAAGTGCTCAAACACGGAGATGAGGAGGCAGAGGGTAAATGGATACAGAATGGCTGGGAAAGGGAGTAGCAGTGGTTGGCTGCTCTTAAGATCTCTCTCCCATGGCCTGGTGCCATGAGTCTGTGTCCAGTGTGATTTTTGGCAATTTCTACATTCTATGTGTATTTGTGAAGTACTGTTTTTGCATCAGATGATATCTAAGGATAAATTTTGTGTTAGAGGAGTGTAGTTACTTGGGAGGAAAGCAGTGCCATATTATTTTATATTAAACATCACTGGCAGAAATATGAGGATGGGTAAATGTCTACTGATAATTTAATAGATTTTACCTGCCTAAATGACATTATTTGCAATCTGTTTATTTAGTTAGTAGCAAATCCTGGCACATTAGCATAATACCTAAGGGCAAAATATTGGATTGACTGTTTGTTTGCCCTTAGGTTATTTTTAAAAAGCTACTTGTATAAATTAAAAAATAAAGCGAGGCTTGGTTGCTAAGAGGATGGTGGGATTTGTAGACTGCACAGGAGACTAATGCAAATCAAAGAGACCAGGAAGGAAAGGCCAGGAGAACAACAGACAACAGGTGAATATCCAGAAACCAGCAGATTCTAACAGGCAAGAGGTAGAGGCTCAAGGGGAGACAGATGATTGATTGGCTTCAGAGAGGTCTGGTAGGAATCTAGGTTGTCAGCTGGGATCGTGATCTTCAGAACAGACCAGTGTGGGGCAAGCCCAAAGCAATAACTTGGGGTCAGGCATGAGGTCAGGGCAAGGCAGTGGGAGAATTGTAAGCTTTGAGGTATGTGTAGGTTAGGGGCTTGGTCAGGACCACCATCAGCAGGATCAGGATTAGGGCTCATGGGTCTTGAACTTCTTTCATTCTTCCTGACCAGAGGCAGGGCTAGTCCCAGGGCCTAGGACAAGGCTAAGCCTGAAGGTGGACATTATGTGACAACCAACAAAAGGAGGAACATCATACTAGAGTCACCGTATGTCCTAGTTTCTCTAGGACAGGCCCACTTTACATGTGTTGTTCCAGCATGATAATCAGTGGTTCTCCCCTTTCACTTGAAAGTGACTGACTTGCGTGATAAGTTACATAGTTACCCTGATTATTTTCCAGAATGTGTTTCATAAAAATCTTTTTAGAAGAATGTCATCCAGAGACCACAAAAGTAGAGTTCTCTAGTCACATAAGTATGGCAAATCCAGAATGAAAGGAAGTTTAATGGAGGAGTCTTTACTGCAGGATTTCTCACTGCCTTTATATGCTAAATTATAATAGGAATTGCTAAGAGGGGAATAGAGTTCTTAGTTTCCCATCCTTGGTTGATCTATTTGTACACTTTGGTACTCCTGAGACTACGTTATGTGGAACACACTTTGGGAAACCCTGGTTAGTTGAATATGGGGTCAGAAAGGGAAACTGGTCATTGCTCCTGCTGTAATAAGGGTGCTTGCAAAGACAGCAGTCACCAGTTAAATAAATAATTCTGGAAACAACAACTGCAGACTCTGACAAAATCTTCAATTTGCTGATTATTGACTGACATTAGCAGAGGTATATGTGACTAGCCCTAGCTGAGTAACTTTCTGAAGGATGACTTGTTCTCTAGCTCATTGGCAAAACCACTTACTACTTAGGGCATGGGAAGAAAGAGAATTTTCTTTGTTAAGTCTTTAACTCCATGATGTTCTTAAAGGAGAGATGAATGAGGAGATAATGGTGTGTATGCTGTGTCTCTGTGTATGGGGAAGGGGCCTCAGGAACTATGTATTTTTCACCAGCATTCCAGGTAATTCTGATAAAGGTAGCCCTCAAACCATTTATGGAGAAACATTTCCTGGGAGTTCTGATGAGAAACTCATGGTGATAAAAACCCATTCATAGTGGTCATTTCTTTAATCATATGAGTCCTTTGATATGATGGCCAGTGATCTGATATTTGCGAAGTTCCCACTATGTGCCACACCCTATCTATGTGCTTTCAGTGCTTAACGTATACTGTGTGAAATAGTCCTCATAGAAATTTAGCAATGGCCCCATTTTACAGAAGATGTCTAAAGATAGACCTTCAAGTGGGCCCGACTTACTAGGCCATTCCATCCGGGCCCGACAAGAGGGTCACAGCTCTTAGACCCACCCCTCAGCAACTCCCTAGGACAAGGACACAATGAGGCAAATCTCTGAGCCTTTGCCCTAAGGTTACACAAAGCTCATTTAGAGCCTTAACAAGCATTAAGACCATTCCATTACAAACAGGACCATATGCTGACACATTTTATCTCTCTGCCTGGTGGAATGGGTCAATATCAAACAAGCTAATCCAGGGAGAATGATGCATTGATTTCCTAGGCCTTACCAAGTGTGCAGGCTGAAGTCAACCTACCTAGGAAGGTTTTTTTTTTAAGATGAGGTGGAAGAGAGAATACAGCAAGAAACAAGGAGAAAGATTTGCTTTGCTTTTGTTATGGAGTTACAAATCCAGACAAGTGACATAAGCAGCTTCTTGTTTTTAGCTGGGCCAAAGAATGTTTTTCTTTTTTAATCTTATTGAAGAGCCAGGATCTTTGTAATTCCATCAAGGATTTCAAACTCAAATGCTTACAGGGGCTTGGAGCATGAGGAGATTTAGAACTGCCTGCTGGGTGGGATCTATGGTGACCTAAAGAAGACCTGCCTCTTCTAAAGGGGACTCCTGATAATAATGTATTGTATGTTTCAAAATAACCAAGAGCAAATTTCAAATGTCTTACTCTAAAAATGCTAGATGAGCAAGATGATAAAGATGATAATTAGCCTGATTTAATCATTTCGCATTGTATACGTGTCAAAAGATCACATAATATTCCATAAATGTATACAATCATTTATCTATCAAAAATAATAACAAAAAATAAAAAAGCAGACTGTGCTTTTTAGCATTCAGAGAATAGATTGCCTATGGAAAATATGGCTGTTTTCTCAGAAATTTCAACTTTTTAAACAAAAGTTGAAAATCTATATTTTTTGAAAGTTTTTCTGATTTTTAAAAACAGACTTCTTGAGATATAATTGATATACAAAGAGCTGTACATATCTAATTTGATGAATTTGGACATATGCAAACATCGATGATGCCTTCACCATAATCAAGGTAATAGACATATTCAACACCTCCCAAAGTGTCCTGTGCTCCTTTCTTTTTTGTGGGTAAGACGCTTAACCTGTGATCTACCCTCAAGAAACTTTGAAGTGCTCAATACCATATTATTAACTATGGGCACAATGTTGTATAGCAGATCTCTAAAATTTATTCATTGAGCCTATATCCATTGAACAATTCCCCATTTCTCCCTCCCCTCCAGTCCCTGGAACTAACATTACACTCTCTGCTTCTATGAGTTTGACTATTACAGATATGTCATATAAATGGAACCCTGTAGTATTTGTCCTGTGACTGGCTTATTTCCCTTAGCGTAATGTCCTCCAGTTTCATTCGTGTTGCAAATGATAGGATTTCCTTCTTTTAAAAAACTAAATAATAGTCATGCTTGGATGAAACTTTGGGTTGTTTCCATATGTTATTGCGAACAGTGCTGCAATAAACATGGGGGTGCAGATATCTCTTTGAGTTCCTGGTATCAATTGTTTAGATATATGTCCAGAAGTGGGATTGCTGGATCATATGGTAGTTTTATTTTTAATCTTTTGAGTAGCCTTCATACTGTTTTTCATAGCTCATACTACATTCCTACCAACAGTATACAGGGGGTCCAATTTCTCTACATCCTTACTAATAGTTGTTATCAGTTTTTTTGGATAATAACCACCCTGACAGGTGTGAGGTAATATCTCATATCTCATTGTAGTTTTTTTTTTTTTTTTTTTTTTTTTTTTTTAGGAGATGGGGGTCTCACTATGTTGTACAGGCTGGAGGGCAATGGCTATTCACAGGCACAATCATAGCATGCTACAGCCCTAAATTCCTGGGCTCAAGTGATTCTCTTGCCTCAGTCTCCCAAGTGGCTAGGAGTACAGGTGCATACCATCACACCTGGTTCTCACTGTAATTTTAATGTTTATTTCCCTGATAATTAACAATGTTGATCATCTTGTATATAATTGTAGGCCATTTTTGTGTGTTTTTGGAGAAATATCTGTTCACCTCCTTTGCCCATTTCTTAATCAGGCTTTTTTCTTGTTATTGAGTTGTAGGCATTCCTTATATATTTTGGGAATTATCCCTAATGTTGCAATTAATTTGAGTGTTTAAAACATTCCATAGGCCAAATAAGACATACAGACTTCTGGTCAGTGACCTCTTTCACAGCTACATGTGGGTGACGCTATGTCACTCAAATAACGGGACACTCGTTTACTGGGTGTCCATGGTGTTGCAGACATTTCATAAGCTACCTCATGAAGTCCTCAAAACGAATCCATGGGTTGAAATAATCATGCCCATCTTACAGATAAAAGTGAGGCCCAGAGAAACTAAATGGTTTTTCCAAGTTCACACAGCCTACATGTGGTTAGTGCAGGTCTGAATTCTGATTGGTTTGACCAGAAAGAGCTGCAGATTTGGGGAAGTTTTGTTTTCTCTCCTCTGGGGAAAAAGAGTCCCACTCAGGGTTATTCCATTACTACAGATGGTCACTGCCCCGGGGCCAGGGCCATGCCACTTTTCTCCAAAGGTTAGTCCCACCGGTATGTGATGCAGTTGGTGGACTGGCTCTCCTTTGATTAGCATGAGCGACGAGTTAGTAATTGATCATCCACCTTTCTAAGGTTGCCAAGCTTAGATTTACTATATTTTGTAAAATCACCCTTCCACGTCCTTAAAGTCCACGTGCATAGTCTATCTAGATTCTGATATTTCATGTGTGAAATTAATCCTCTCGGACTGTAATGAAAATGTGGCTGTTAGCCTCTAATTAAGATGTGTGTATATTGATTGCAGTGGTCAAGTCTGTCCACTGATATATTAAAATAAATAAGCATCCATTTTATATTGGAAATTTTGTGACACTTCTTGAGACACCTTGAGTTTCTCTGAGTTGTTACAAAACCAGAGCAAAGAGTCAAAGCTGTAATTTCTGCCTATCACTGGCTTTTGAATAGATTATGAACTCTTAGAGGATTGGGTTTGTATCTATATAGTTCTCTTTATACAGAGATGAAGGCTTTCACAGCAGTATCTATAATTGGGTGTTTAATAAATGCTTTTTGATGAGGGTAATGGTATGGAAATAAAGCTCTTGAGATCCAGAGTTTGCTTGGATTTCTTGCCTCATTAGGGAGGAAAAGGTGAATGGGGATGCATGGGTAAATACGAATGTCAATCTCAGGTAGGAAACCATATGCTCTTCTAGCATGAAATGCTGAAAAGAGAGAAACCAGAAGGGTGTGACTAAGACAGAAATTCTGCTGATTGACACTAATACCGGTATTTACCAATCTTCTGTAACGAGGTAGACTCCATTTAGAATCTGGTGATGTATCGCATACAAGTTAGATTGCTTGACAAGTCACACCAAGGTTTACTCAAAGTCACTGCCATTATGGTATATAATCACAGGCTCACCAGTGTCCCACAAGGGTGAAGGCAGAGGTTAATGGTTTTCTTTTTATTTGCATTATTACTTGATCTCTGGCTTTCCTGGTGAGATGGGTTTTTATAAGCTCTTCCCATCTCACTTTTTGAAGTGTTTTTAAGCTATTTTAAGGCTGTTTTATAGGTGCCTTTTCTTATGTTTGTTTTGTATGCTAGAAAGTAAGTAAAGAGGATCCAGGATATGAGCTATTGATACTACCAGGCACACTGAAGTAAGTATTAAGTCTTTTATTGAGCTTTCTAAATGGCAAAGTATATTTCTTTTTTATTTAAAATGTTAAAAAAAAAAGTGGTCAATTCTAACTAACTGCCCTAAATGTATCAAAAGGCCCTTAGAAGTTTTCTTCTTTGCCACCATGGTGAATCCTTCAAGCAAATTGATTTTAAGCTTGTACAACAATGTGAATGCAATGACACTAAAGTGTACACTTAAAATGGTACATTTTATGTATGTATATTTTACCACAATAAAAAAATAGATTTTAAGCAACTAATCAACTACGAGGTTGTCAGACTGATTCATAGAGCATGAGCAATATTTTGTATTCAGTACTATAATGTAGAGAATATTACTCTGTTATAGTCAAGTGTAAAAAATATCATATTTTATTTTCCTTATGTTAAATTTGGGCCAGGCATGGTGGCTCATGCTTGTAATTCCAGCACTTTGGGAGGCCGAGGAGGGCAGATCACTTGAGGTCAGAAGTTTGAGACCAACCTGGCCAACACGGTGAAACCTTGTCTCTACTAAAAATACAAAAATTATTTGGCATAGTGACACATGCTTGTAATCCTAGCTACTTGGAAGGCTGAGGCAGGAGGATTGCTTGAACCCGGGAGGCAGAGGTTACAGTGAGCCAAGATCGTGCTACTGCACTCCAGCCTGGGCAACAGAGCGAGACCCCATCTCAAAAACAAACAAACAAAAAATTAAATTTGGCTCTGAGTTCTCATCTACTGGAAAGGTGTGTGAGAATCAATTGTGTTATATTTAAGGAAACCCATTTCTTAGGGGTCTTTGAAAATCTAAATGAGACTTACATGAGATCAGGAAAATGGGAGAGGAGAGCTGCATTCTTCCCATGGGGAACTTTGTAATCATTTTTCTCTTTGCCACACAATGGAACTCTGCGATTTGGCCCTTCACCGCCTGTTAGGTTTATATGCTTGGAAGTCAGGGAGAGGCTCCTGTAATTGACCTCTCTATTGACCACAGACTTGGCCAGAGGAGCACCTTCTGCTCTTCTCCAGGCTGCAGTGTTGTTTTCACCTCCAGAGGGACCTGCAGCAATCCTTTTCACCTTTGGCATTGCTTCAAAGGGGACATGGGTCTCTATTAGTCACAGAAACTCAGCAAGATCTTATCTCACTTCAGAAAGCTCATATCCTCTGAGTGGACTCTTCTACCTGCTTGAACCCCAGCATGCAGCCAGCCCAGATTCTCAGACAAACCTTTGGATGAAGAAAGTGAAACTCTGAGTGACAAATAACTTTGGCTTGTCTGCCCTAAGAAACACAAATTGTTAGTGCTCTTGAAAGTAAAGGTTCTGAGACTCAGAACAGGATGGCCTAAGATCTTTTCTATATAGGGGAGGAAAAAAATGTTTTTCTGTTTTCTGAATGTCCAAGGCAGCCAGAACATGACAAAATTTTATATATATATATATATATTTTGGCAATGCCTAGATGAGTATTAGTAACATACTAGTTGCAAGGGTAGCTTTAGAGACAGAGAACTTGGGTTTGAATCAGGTTGAAGCAGGTTAAGTTCCCCATGCCTCAATTTTCCCCATCTGTAAAATAGAAATAACAGTAATTTTTTTATCATGAATTTACTATAAAAATAAATTAAATAAAAATTAATATGTGTAAAGTACTTTAGTCTGGCATGTAGAAAGTACTTAATGAGGAAGCTATAATAATAATAATAATAACAATTAGTTAACATTACCAAACTGGTTATTCAGAGTTTAATCCTCTGGAACTCTATGCTTAGCTCTAATCTCAAGGAGTCCAGGGAAGCAGACTAATCCTCACTATTAAATTTTGTATTGATTCTCGGATGTTTTCAAAGAATCCTACATCCACATATCTCAAAGGAGTGCTATTGATTTGATCATTTTATGAAATTCTTACCCTTTTGCTTTCAGAATTCTAGCTAGATGACAAAAAGGAAATAACTCACACATGTAAATTAATCAAACTATTTTGGAACTCAAACATTGCTTGTGGAAGACTTGCAGATTGAGCCAAGCCCTGTTCTTTATTAACTCTGGATAATTTGCTTTCTTTGTTTGATCCCTGGCCTTTAAGTGAATGTCAATCTCTTGCTTTTTTCCTGAAGACCTATAAGGCTTGCTGACTAAATTTCATGGAAATTCTTTGAGATTCTTAGCTAGAAGAGGCTGTAAAGGCCAAGTGCTATAGGTACTAACGTCTCATTGCTAACACTGATATTTTACCTTGATAGTAACTTCCAACTTGACATAAAAGCTTGTAAGCACCAGATCTTTGCCTCTCCCCATGGTTGTATGTGTTTGAATTCTTTGGAGAAAATTTTATGACTTGCATGGCTTAGGGTTTCATAAATTATAAAAATGTTTTATCTCTGGTTTGAATAGAGTAGTAAAGCATATCCCTGATTTCTCACTTCTTCCATAACCCAGTGCCTTCTTATTTCTAATGCCTCCTAGTCTGATGTCACTGAGAAGATGTTTATGGCCTTGCTTGCCAGAGAACTAAAAAAGAAAACAACAACAACAGCAGCAGCAACAACAACAACAACAAAAAACATCTAACAACGGAGCCAATGCTTACTCATGCCAGTCCCAGGATTCCATATATGGGGACATTGGGCGTGTTTTAAGCCATATGCTCATAACCTTTGTGTCATGATTCAGTTGGTGTGTCTTGATCAGTTTCCTCATCTGTCATCTCTTGGAAAGCATGTAAAGATTAATCACAGATATCTGCTTGTATTACCTAGATTAATGCTAGATGATTAGCAGATGAACCTTAACATCTCAGTGGCTTAACAAAAAAAGGTGTTAATCTCCCACTTCTATATGAAGCCCAGGTGGGAGTAAGGCTGTACTCCACAAAGTCATTCAGAGAACCAGGCTGTTGAAGGCTCTGCCATTTCTAGTAAATGACCTCCAAGGTGGTTCTCAGCACAAACATCTATTCACAGATGGAGAAAGAGATTTTGCATATATATTTTTCTAATTTTCATTTTTGCAAAATGTCATAATAAGCAGGTAAGATGGAGCCTCAGTTGGAGTTGTGGTTAGTCATGGTGAAACAAGAGTTAAAAGGTAAAATCGACAGATTTCCTATCAGCTATTTATCCATCATTACTAAGAATTACGGAGTGTTAGGCTTAGAAAAGGTCTAGGAATTGACTCATTTTCCTACTTCCAGGAGATCTGGTTCTAGAACCCAGGACTTCCAGCTCCCAGGCAAATTGAAGCGCTTCTTCTTCCACATGGGACCCACTTCTATGAGAGCATCAGTCTGTTAGGGTTAAGTCCAAGCTCTACCACTTAAGAGCTGAACAAGTTATATTAACTGCAAAGGGATAATTTTAGCAACTTCCTCATTAGGAGGTTGTATTAAATGCACAATGCGTGACACACAGAGACTTATTGTCATTATTAATATCCCAAATTTTTTAAATGGTCACAATAATTCCCCTTGCAACTTCTGTCATATGAATAAGCCCAGGATCGCTTGATGGATGATGATGAAGGATTCATGGCCAAGTCATCCACACCACCTCAGCCGACTTTGAGTCAGTCACCAGACATGTAAGTCATGTAAGTAAGACCATCCTAGAGCATACAGCCCCAGGCAAGCCAGCCTAGATCAGAAGAACCAGCCAGCCTACTCACAGAACTGTGAGAATGACCAATGTTTGTTACTTTAAGCCACTAAGTTTGGTGGTGGTTTATTATCCAACAAAGGCTGATACAGAAAGGATCACAATTGAGGAGTTTATGTGAGCTCAATCTGAAAGTTTATATGAGCTAGATTTGCCCATTATTTCACTAAATTCATCACATGGCCCCACCTAACTCCAAAAGAGACTGGAAAATGTAAAAAACCCAGACAGAAAGGGAAGTAGGCTCCAGGACAGCTGGCCAATATCTGCCACACTGATTTACCTTGATTTTGTAAAAACAAAACAAAATCAAAACCCTTAGGTGGCAATCAGAGTGTAACAACTTTCCAGGCAAGTTCTTTGGGACAGGCCACTAGACAGTCACTTTTAGTTTATTTGTTTCTCACAGGAAGATAGAGAAAAGGAAATGCGACAGATGTGATGCCTTCCTGAGAGGCTGTCTGGTAAATCAATTCCTGCCAAAGTTCTCCTACAACCCTAAGAGATAAAAAAGGAACCTGCAGGCGAAAACCACAAGGTAGGAAGAGTTTGAAGCTGTGATCTCTTAGAATAAGAGCTTTTCATTTATTCTTTCTGAGAAGGAAGTCTAGGGCATCTGTCATTGAGAGTGCTATTGATATAATTTTGCTTTCTGCCCCGTAGGATCTGAAGCAGTCCTGCCCCAGGCTTAGAGAAGTAAGGGCAAGCTAGCCCAATTCTGTTTGCTCCAGCACATCTCATCCCAGAGCATTTGTTGTAAGGCCCTCTTCTTTTTGATCCCATGTCTACATTTGGATCTCTGGTCTGGGAGGAGAAATCTCAGAGGCTATGAATCTGATGAGGAAGGCAACTTGGCAGTGCAGAAAGCACCCTGCTTTGCAGTCAGACTTTCCAGCTTCCAATTCTACCTCTGCCAGATTAATTAGCTCTGTGTGATCTTGCACAACTTCTCTAAGCCTTAATTGTGAGAATTAATATTGTATTTATTAGGAGTATGGCACACGATAGGTACTTATTAGATGTTAGCTATCATCATCATCTTCATCATAATTTGATTTTGCTTTTCTTATTCCCTTTGATCTTGCCTCCTAGTCTAACAGGAGAAACATTAGAAGTTGGTGGAGACGGCCTAGAAAAGGAAGGGTAGATTAGAGAGCAGGAGATAGTGAAAAATTACAGTTATTTCACAATTGAAATCCTATCCCATGTTTGCATTGTTAATTATAGTTTTCGAAAGACTGTCATCTAGGCAATCTCATTTCGCATGACCATTCTATGAGACACAGGAACATGCAGTCTATTTTGGCAGATAAAAAATAAATACATGAGGAGTTAAGTAAAAACTGTGTTACTGAGACTGCAGTAACTTTTATAAATCAATGTGCAAAAAAAATTCAAGTATTTTGGAATGAGATTTGTTGGATTGAAATATTTTATGGTGGTCTGTAACATCAGCTCGTGAGCTCATAGACCAAACCCCATCCCAAATACCTGGTGTTCAGGATTATCAATATAAAAATTGATTTAAGATCCCCATAATTCATTTACTCCTATTTCCTGACATGCAGAAAGCTTACTGCCACTGGGTTATTTCATCAGTTTTTCCCCATCTCTCCATAACTAGTCTACCTCTGTATGCTTGGCTTCTATAACATTGCTTACTGGTCTTTCTTAAGGCATGTTGTGTTCTGGGTCAGTTCTCTTTAATCTGTGGCCAAACTCTTGCTCAGATCTAGGAATGTGTCATCTATGTGCATCTTTGTTCTAAGCTGAACATTTCTTAGCACTATACCTGAGTTTCTGCTGCCACCTTTCATATTCTTTTATGATTTGCAAAGCTAGCAGGAACCCAAAGTGACTTTCATAACCAAGTGTCCAGGGTCTCCAGGAGTTCAGGTTCTCTCTAGTAAACAGTTCCAAGACCGCAATGAAAGAGATGTCACAGAGTTGTATATAGTATAACATTAACTAATATTTGAATGATAAATTATTGCCATAGGAAACTAGAGAAAGAAAAAGACACTTTGGGATGGAGAGGTTAGGGAAGATTCTGTGGAAGATGTGAGATCTGAGCTGTGTTCTATGGGGTAGCTAGGTCGAGGTAAAAAATGCCATAGCCAAGCGATCAGAGGCATAAATATGCAAGGAGTCTTGGGTGGAATCACAAAGTTTAGCAGATGAGTACATGAAGGTAGACCCTTTGTGCCAGGAAGTAATTTTGACAGAATGTTGGAGATAATTTTGCCTGTAATGGTTTCTGACTGACAGTTTATTCATTCATTCAATCATTGAGTTCAACAAATTCAATTTATTAAGAACATACTATATTTCAGTAACTCTTCTACATCCCAGAGATACAGCAATGGACAGGAAAGGTTCTTTCCCTCATGCTGATTACATCTTAAGTATGGAGACAAACAATTAAAAACAAGCAGATACACACAGTAATATCGTATAGTCATAGAACTATGAAATGTTAAAGCAAGGAAACACAATAGTGACTATAAGGGTCAAACACCATTGTAGAGAGGAAAATCAGGGAGGACCACTTGGGTTGGGTGATATTTAAGCTGAGATTTGAATGAAGAATGGAAGCCATTCTTGTGAAAGATCTGGGTGATTGGCATTCCTGGCAGAGGGAACAGCTAATGCAAAGCTCTAAGGTGGTAACGAGCTTGGTAGAGTCAAGGAGCAGCTGTCATTGCTCTGTAGTGCACTTGGAAAATATGCTCAGGTCTGGTCCTACTATTGGCACATTAAGCCAGAATCTCTGAGATGAGGTCTAAGCCACAGTGCTTATTAACACCTCTCCAGGTGATTCTAACAGTTAGCCAAGGTTGAAAACCGCTGTATTAAAGGAAAGCCAAAAGATGAAGGGCTTTTTTAAGCAGACAGAGAACACTCACCAGGGGAATCAATGGAGGAGGGAAGTGAAGAATGTAACTGTGCAGGAAGAGTATGCTAGGGATAGAGGGATGCTCATCTTCGACCTGGTAATCAATGGAATCCAGACTGACCTATTACAAGAGTGGGGTCCCTATGCTCTTTACATAGTCTCCCTTGTCAGTTTCCTGAAATTTATTGTGCCAACTATGGTGGGAGTTAAAGCGTTAAGGTTTGGCTTATTTGTTTTGGGCAGATCACAGAGATCCAGGACTCAGAGCTAGGGAATAGACAGCTGACCCCAAGCTGGAAAAACTTTCCCAGATACTCCCTCCTGCCTAGGAAGTGGCCTATGAAAAAGCAGTTTAAATAATGGCAGCCTAAAATATAGTTCTATATGCAACATTTTTTTTTCTATGAAAACTACCTTTTGCCTTATACAACCTGTTAAAAAGTGGGAGATTTCACTAATAGGAGGGCAGGAGTTGAGCACAGATCCAATAGAGGAAAAATACTGTCTTCAGGCAGATAGGGGATGTGCCACTGGGGCCGAGATGACGAGTTTCGTGAAAAACAGAGTTCAAAAGAGGAGGCTCTTGAGTGTAAAGATAATTTGAGGGGAAAAGAAAAAGATAGAATGTGACTGGAAGGAACGGAATAGGAAAAGCAGCATGATATAGATGGAAATCTCCTCATTTCTTTGACGTCCTTAACAAGAACATCAAGTGAGGCAGAATAGTCAAGAACTTGGACTCTAGAATCCAAATTGGATGAGCGCCTTAAGCACTTTAATCCACAGTTTCCTCATCTTTCAAATGGAAACAACAGTGCCTAGGATTCGTTGCTGTGAGGACTAATGACAAATTGCATGTAAAAAGCTTGGCACAGTACCTGGCACTTAGTCCAGGCCCCACTCCATGGTATTCATCACCAGTGTCAAAATTGCCATAATAATTAACATTGCCTCAATCACAAAATTCATGTCATGTTCACCAACAGCCAATGGCTTCCAGATAAAAGTGAGAAGGCCAATATAGAGCTGGGGTTAAACATGTCAAGAATTCAAAGCTATAGTGCCCCTGGGTATTCAAAAAGCGTAAAGATTTGACTAAATTCACAGCCAAATGGCATTTACCCCAGGTCTACCCCATACCAGTCACTGGCTTCTCTCTAATAGTTGTTATCCCTTTTAATTCTATAGAATAGAAAAGAAGGAATTGGGGCTAGGCTGAGCAGCAGAGGAGAGATTGGCTGTGGAGAGTATAGATGACACATGAGGCCAGGTGATCTCTGAGAAAAGTTTCTCCCATCTGTTGCTTAGATTGCCCATCTTGGAACTCAGGAAATCTGAGATGGCTTTAAAGAAAATGATGGCATTGAGAAGTAGTGAGATTGCAGGGGGCTTTCAATTTTCTGCTTGGGTGTTGGTGGAGAGCACCGAGGTCAACATCCATGCTTGCAGTATAAAATTCTAGGTCTGTGTCCCTGAAAAGAATGTTGGTGTGAGCTAATGTGAAAGATTTGGGGAGAATTTGTGTAAAAAGTAACAACAAACACCAAATGCCTAGTTGAGTTCTCTGATGGGTAAGGTAGAATATTTGAGAGATTTTTTTGAGAATATTTCCCACTGAAACTTGGGAAATAACTATAGTTAATGAATTTTGAAGAAAAGAGTTAGCAAAAGAGAAAGTAAATCTGATCATTAACATTATATACAATAAACTGAACTGGGAACCAGGAGACCTGTGTGCTAGACTGGATTACATTGAGTAAGCAATTTGAATTATCTAGGTCTCAGTTTCTTCAGTCTGAAAAAGAAGGGCATGAGATTATATTATGTTGAATCCATCTTTTGTTTAAATTTTTGTTAAATTCTATGGAGTACAGAGAAGTTGATGGCTTCAGGCACAAGTGAGAAAGTATTTTAATCTTCTTACATTTTTAGGCCATGTCCAAATCATTTGTTTTTTCACTTTATTTTATTTGAATATAATTTAGGTTTTCTTTCTCATGGGGTGAATGAAAATAAACACTTTAGAAATGTATAAATCAGTGTGCATTTATTGGAGTATGGCCAATAACTTTAGATAATGAAAAGGATGATTGAGCTATTTAATATGTTGATTTAAGTAATGCTGGGTGATGAGTGGTAGTGACAAGGCTCTTCTCTTACTAGGATATCACATGAACAGGTTCTGTCCTAATTCTGCCCTTGCCTAGTACATATGGGTGACTAGAATTTGGTGAGAGGGGGCTGTCTGCTGAGCTACCCCAACTGTGGTTACAGCACAGTTACAGAGATGGATTTTTAAGTACACTTGTTTTCCCTGTCATTTGTCATGAAACAGACTCCCTATGCTCATTATCAAAAAGCCCATATGCTATCTTCAGTTCACATTTTGCTCACCTCTTTCTCTTCATTGCATTAGTCAAGTTCAGAAACTAGACTGTCAGCTGCCAGACAGGCTGCTGTTTCTCTCAGAGATAGGTGAAAACCATTTAGGAATTCATTATCAAAGTGTACAGCCCAAGAAGGTGTTTTTGCCTTCAATTCAATTATTCCAAAGAAGCACACGATAAAGAAAAGTACTCAGGACAATTAGATGGACTATCTAGACGTCAAAAATCAAATTTTTACCTTTGCAAATGCAGGTTCATATTCTGTTCTTAAGTCATCAGAGGGAAACATATGATGTTCACTGTCAGTTTAGATTGTCAGAAAAAGCTTGTTCAAAATCTGTAAAGTTGTCACTCCTCATGTATTTTCACTCAAGAAACCAGGGATCCAACTTCCTGTGCCTAAACTCTCTGCCTAGACAAATGGATCTTTTGGGAGGTTAAGTATGTCTTAGAAGAATATCTGAGCTGGAGTTGCAAATAGAGGAATCATCTTTTGTTAAGTTGTTAGAACCTAGATAACATAGAAGATTACTCTATGGGGTTTGAAAAAACTAAGACATGATGCCCTCTCATGAGACCTTTACAGTCTATTTGGGGAGTTAAGGCATATATGCCCAGAACTTTATTTTCAGTGGTTCTTGGCAATTTTAAAGTTCCGGTAGTATAGTACAAGTACCCAAATGTGATGCCCACAATGAGGGCTGTGGTAAGTCAGAAAAGAGGCTGGGTTTTGGTTTCTTAGGAAATGGTAATTTACATGGAGTCTCACCCACCTGGAAGGATTGCAGTCTTTATGTTTAGCATCACTTTTTGTCATTTAAATTTCTCTCTAGGTGGGGATCTAATCCAGTCCGGAGTTACAGGAGCTAGAGGTGATCAGAAAGTGTGCCTAATTTGACTTTTGCTCCATATGTGACATAAAATAGAAAAAAAGTGAGGTCCCCAAAGAAAAGGTAGCTTGAGAACCAATGAGAGTGTCTCTCCATGAACTGTCAAAACCTCTGGGATCCAGCAGAAACAGGGTTTGATTTAAGCTGTTCCTGGGTACAAAATGCGAGCTCTTACTTGGCATTTATCCTTGACACATATGGGAGCAGGCTTTACCAGAGGCAAGAATTCAATCAAAAGTCAGGCTTTTTGAATTTAGGTCTTTCTCTTTTCTTCTGCTATAAAATGGTGAGATCATAGCCCATGCCCTAATTGGTTCACAGATGGATACATCCTGAGGCAGGTGGGGGTAATCCTCAAGTTTTCCTACACCAAAGCATACCCCAGAACAAAGAACTACTCGTTCTGGAGGTGAAGATAAGGCCTGTGATGGGTTGTCCCATTTGATCACTGTGGATTTCCTCTCTGTGATATCTTCTGCTCCCCTGGAATCTAGTATTGAGGAAAAATAACCTTAATCAGGAACTGTCACTCTTCTTCAAAGAGTAGGACAGTCAACTGGCCTCTAGCCTATAAAGAAATATTCCTTTCAGATAGACTCTAGTATATAATATCATTCTGCTATTCATCAGGAAGTGGCTGAATAATTTATTATACAACTTGTCTATAGATCAGAGTAGATGAATAATAAAATCTTTAGTATGTAAAAACCTTACAAGAAAGTTGAGACTTATGGTAGCAAAGGATCCAGAAGGATTGGGTCATTTTGTAGTTATTAGTAAACATATGTCTGTGATAAAGACCACTTTGGCAAACCGAGGTATCTCTCTACCCATCATCCTGCTTCAGGAGAACTTGGGCTCTGATAAGTATGTACGTAATGATCAAATCCCCCACATTTACCAACCTGCTCCAGTCATCATTGTGGTAGATGTGTGCACGAGAAAAATGCTCATTTTATTCCATTCCATGGATACTTACATTCTCTGCGTGTTTATTTAGGAAGCATTTTATTGAAATGATTCCTCATTATGTGTAACTTAATACCATTTATTCATTAATTTATTTACTCAGTACACATTAATTGAGTACATACAATGTGCCTGGTGCTGGGAAAGCAAAAGAAAAAACCACCATACTTATCCTCAAAGTCATCTCAGTCTATTTGTAGAGGTGAATAATAAATGACTGTAATACATGGTGAGGAAGACCACCATTAAGTCAGAAATTGCTAAAGGAGTTAGCAACTAACTGTCTAAGATGATTGGGAGCATTCACAGAGAAGGTTATATTTGTTGAGGACCTTGAAGGAGTAGGAGTTGCCTAGGTAAATCAAGGAAATAAAGGGAATAAATATCAAAGGACCCACATGTATGAAGACACAGAAGACATAGCTTTAGAGAAGTTTAGAGATGTTTGTAGAGCATGCTGGAACACAAGAAATGCTTTTGGAAAGACTCTGTAAAATATTTATACCCTAATACTAGGTATGCAACAGTGAACATTTAAAGTTTATTGAATTAAGTCAACCAAAGAAGACCCAAGTTGTGGGATTCAAGAATAGCAAGGCTCTTTCAAATGCCTCTGAAACAGTTGGGGGTGGACCTCTCCATGGTGCTGAAACATCCCCTGTTCAAGCCTTCCTATCTATCTGGATTATTGGCTCCTTTCCATGTTCCTAACCCTCATTCTGCATGCAGTAATTACTTGATTGACCATTTCACTCACTGGCCCTGCCAGGACCTTGCCTTGGATACTACCTGTCCAATGGTGAGCTTATTATTCTTTCCTTTAACCTGCACAGACCCTGGATGGGCATTTGATCAACTGAAATAATTAATGGGTAGAAACAGATATTGTCAGTGAAGTCCTTTAACTTCTTTCTGCTTGCTTTTCTCCCAGATATTTTAGCATTTAATTAATCTGGATGCAATTTATTAGTTGCTTGGGTTGGAATTTCTTTAGCCTTTTAGCCCAGATCACATATACTTATTACGTATTTATTGGAATTTTCAGGAAACTGTAGTTCAAGGTGAAACTTTGAAGATAGACTCAAACAATGGGCATGTCTCACAATGATACAGAGGACTCAGATAAAGTTGGTGGAATAGAGTGGAAAGAATACTGGATTTGAAATTAAAAGTTCAAATCAGGGTTTCACCACTTAGAAGCTGGGTAAAGTCATTTAGTTTATTTTGAAGCCTCAGTATCCTTATTTGTAAAATGTAGACAGGTTATTCCCTGTATACTCACAAACTTGTGCTAAGACTCAAATATTCTCATGTTTGTGAAATTAGTTTGAAAGTGATGCAGTTGGGAACGATTACTGGATAGGTTGGAAGGTTGTCCAACTGGTGCCCCTCATGATGGGAAGAGACAGAACACTGCGAATTAGCACAGTGAAAGTTAGGAGCTGTGAAGACCCTAGGGGGCAGAGGAGGTACAGGCATTAATATTATGGTGCTGAGAAGTTAATATCTTTCTTTTTAAAAAATAGCTCGGCATAGAAGCTGTCAGTAGGGCTTTCTCCCCGGTCAGATTTATGACTTCTGAATGACATTGTTTTACTTTGCCATTTGGAGGATAAACAAAGCTGGAGAGAACAAAAGTTTTATTTTCCTATCAGTGACAAATACATAGCAATCAATGTAATTGAAGTTCAAGTGGAATAATTTATGGGGGATCCATTGCATGCTCCTTTGTGTACTCTGTCTGTCTGTCTCTCTCTCTTCCTCTATCCCCACTCTAATTCCTTTCACCGTCATTTATTTCTGCCTCTTTCTGGTATTCAGTCCTGTATATATTAAAAGCATAAGCCAATTAGAAAATAATTGCTGTTACTCTGCTTGGCCCATCTTTCTTGATGTTTAGGTTAGTTTGGCATTTTATTCTCTCCAAAGAATGTATTTATTCAAAAAAGACATCTACCACATTTAATGCGGGCCATTTAGATATTAATCATCAAAGGTAAACGATGAAGAAAAATTTTAGTCTTTAATTCTTTTCTTAAAAGTCACATATACAGAGAGCTAATTGACCCATGCTATGCAGAAGTGCTCTGCCTGAAGCCCAGGGTTAATTTTTACAATGGCCACTTAGCCAATTGAGGATGGTTAAGTGAGCAATATTTTATAGACTCTTGTATTAATTATTTTGGGGGATGGATATAAGTTTGTGGATGGGGAAAACACTCTCAGATTATTCTAGGGGAGATGAATGATATATCTTTACAAAAACATATAAAAACCTTAATTTCAGTGAATGGTTTATAATGTAAAATACCACAATGATATATAACTGGATAAGAGGGCTTCTCTGTGAGTAGAGCTTATCTGTATATCCTGATGAAATTTAAAAAAAACCCCATGGAATATATGTTTTTGGGGGTTAACAAAAGGAAACTTGGGAACCAAGAAAAAGGAAGGATGTAAATTAACTTATTGTTGTCCTTTATTGTTTGAAAAATTCTTATCATAAAGGATGGTAGCCCACTGATTTTTAATTTCACTGATAAGTGAGCAGGAAGGAATAGGTAAGAGATGAAGATGAATGATTTAGGTCATACTTCAATAAAATATTTTTACTGTTTATTTCCTGTATCACAGGTTTTTCAAAGTAGAGCATTTCTTATCTGGCTGGTATGATTTAGGCATTATTTTATCACTAGAAAAGCCATAACGATGAAGGGATGGTATGTTCAAAGCAGAGGATTAATATTTACTACATATCTACTATGAGTAAGTTACTATGCTTTTTTACATATACTTTTTTACATATCATTTAATCAACAGTCTTGTGAATTAGGCTATTCTGACAGATGAGAAAACTGAAAATCAAAGACACTAAGTAGCTTGGTAAGTGTTACATAACCATGATATGTCAGAGCCATTAAATCGAGGTGTGCCTAACTCTAAATTCCATACTCTTTATATTACACTATGATGTCTAATAAATAATTTGGTTGAAAGAGTCATTTTTATTCAAGATAGGAGAGTAGACTCATTGATTTCTGTTAGTCTTTTCTATGAATCTGTTATCGGAAATAGTTGACTACAATTAAAATAATTCCTGGCACTATAACACTACTAGACATCTTCATGTCATGTAGCCAACATCTTTTTTTCCTTTGCACCATATAATCTGTTTTCTCTATGGGTAAAAATCACATTTTAATGATGGGGTGGAACTTCCTTTATTCCAAAACTCATTTGTAGTCGGGGTTGGGCACATATCTAGGTCTGATAAATCAGAATAGCCTATTCTTCTGTCCACAGCTATTTATTTTTAATGTTTTCAAGCTGATTTTACCTTTCTGCTAGAGTCATCAGGGAAGATACTCTCTTTCCACTGGGGTTGTTAAACAAGTAGAATGCAAGGCTAGACTACTAGCAGGCATCCTTCTCATTAATTAGCGAGAGAAGAGCTTGTCTGAACTATGGAGGGAAAAATAGAGAATCAATATCTAACGGTATTCTTTAAGACCCTGAATCCAGCCACACTTGAACCATTTTTCTAAAGGAATGTGAATTCATAGTGTTTTTCTTTTATCTTGGGTCTATGTTATTTGATTTTAAAATATATTAAAATCTAGCAATGTTATTTTATATGTGGCTGATACATTATATATCCATAGTCAAGGAGATAGCACTAATCACATACCATGACAATAGACACAAGTCTGATCTAAACTCTGTATAGATATTGGCACTGCCCTTGTTTTCCAGATTATCTCTGGAGTGCTCTGAGGGATCAGTTGGTTGGCCAACAAATACCATTTGTGCCTCAGGCTCTTTGTAAAACCTAGGGGAATGTCTGAATTTCCCTTGATTGAGACATCTCCCTTCCCTGTCAAGTCCTGAAGGAGCTGTAAACTCAAGGAATAATGCCAAAGGAGAAATTAGTGTCTGCCTTATTATCAATTGTACTTTTGTTCATAACTCGCAATAATTTGGTTGCTGCATAGGGCTTAGCCTCAAATCTAAGCAGACTTTCTCTGCCTCATAAATCAAATCTTAACTCTAGGCAGTGGTAAAACCACAGTGCCCAGTAATGGTTAGTAAAGAATACAAGAGAGTGTAGGCCGGGTGCGGTGGCTCACGCCTGTAATCCCAGCACTTTGGGAGGCCAAGGCGGGCGGATCACGGGGTCAGGAGATTGAGACCATCCTGGCTAACACGGTGAAACCCCGTCTCTACTACAAATACAAAAAAAAAAAAAAAAAAAAAAAATTAGCTGGGCGTTGTGGCAGGTGCCTATAGTCCCAGCTACTTGGGAGGCTGAGGCAGGAGAATGGTATGAACCCAGGAGGCGGAGCTTGCAGTGAGCTGAGATCGCGTCACTGCACTCCAGCCTGGGTGACAGAGCAAGACTCTGTCTCAAAAAAAAAAAAAAAAAAAAAAAAAAAAAGAATACAAGAGAGTGTGACCCATAGTTCAGACTACTCAAGTCTATGTGGGTCTGCTTCCTGAACAGCTGGTAAACAGTGGAGAAAGCCATACTCAAATGAATTTCCTTTCAATTTCAGTGCGTCCTTTCACTACAAAACAGCCCAATCAATGTCCTGGGTTCTGTTCACTCAGACTGAGAAAAAGAAGTAAATCATCCATAGATTTTGGCATTTTGTTATTATCACAAAGTATGCTAGACATACACCTCATAAGTGATTTTGACAAAAAGATGTGCTGCAAGCACAGTGCTTGAGGGGTGGTCACGATTATGGATATCACTGTACTAATCTCAGAAATCTTAGTGTATGTTTTTTTTTGTCTTTACTGGATAGTTTCGTATTTCTACCTGCATGTGGAGTTCTGTCAGGGCCACATTCTTCCGGGATATATAAACGTGGAGAAAAGTCCTTACACTGTGGTACAGTGATCCGCTGGAGGAAAGTGCTATATCTGTGCATTTTGCAAGAAGTCATTCTATAGCATGTGTATGTCTATTAACACAATCACTGAACCAGAGCCAAGGTTCCAAAGGGACTATCTGAGATCATCTTTCTAACCCAGTGATTCTCGAGCTCAGGTGCATGGCAGAATGCCTGGAGGGTTTATTAAAAACACTGATTCCTAAGCTCCACCTAAGACCGATTGAATCAGGTTCTTTTAGTGTAGGGTGCAGGAATTTTTTTTTATAACAACTTCCCCAGGCGATTTTTCTGCCAGTCTATAGAATGGCCTTTGGGGATCTCTTTATCTTTTACCTTCAAGTTAAAACACATCACTCTGAAACTTCATGAGCCAGATACGAATCTAACCTATATTCAAAGAGGTTTAGAAAAAGATACCTTCAACCTCTCTCAGCACAATTTTTTTTTCTATTAAGCTCCCTTTTCAAAATACTTGAACTCCACCTGGACCTAGGCAAAATGTTTTAAAATGGCATCAGAGTGAATCAAATCACATTAACCTGAGATGGTGGGCAAGGATCATGAAAAAGGACAGAGGGAAGCCTGAATGTGAGTTTGCCTGAAGAGGAAATGATGATTCCAATAAGTGCCTTTTCTTTCCGTTTGCATTCTGTGCGTAGCTAATCCGCTCGGCATAATCCTCTTAACGGCATGTGTTCCATCAGTATTTTATCTGATCTACTTCTCTGACAATCCTATGTTTGCTAGTTTCCTTGTATTTTTGAGAAGCTCTAGATGTTACATGGAAAATTCAACCTTGTTTCTCTGTTTTCATACAAAGTGGGGTTCTTGGAATTCTTAGAAAATGGGGAGGACCCTTTGCACAGGCTGAAGTTGTGTGAGAAGTCTGGACAGAGTTTCCAGCTTTCAAAATTTAGTAGGGGAAAACTAAATAGAGGCTTTCTCCCTTGTCTCAAAACTGGATTTTAATTTGCACACTGCTGGTATGGGTCAGGGGACTGTTGTGCTGAATCAGAGGATGTAGGATACAGGGAATCATGAAAATAAGCATTGGCCCCCATGCCTAGGTGATGAGAACATTTGTCAGTAGATGTTAAGGTTCCTTTATAAGCTTGACTATTGCTTTTATTTGCATAACCAAGGAAATTAGAATAAGATTGGGGCATCCTTCATTTACCATAGATAAAGACAGGGATTCTCTTACTGTAGACCCAGCCCTATCTGTGCACTGCCTCCTATGGGGAATAATCTGAGGGCTAAAATGCATGACCACTTGCCATGGTACTAAAGTCCCTCAGCTGGACTTCATGCCATAATCACTTCATCCCATTGGGAATTCAGATCCCTCTAAATTAAAATACCCCTGAGATGGGTGTAACCTTAATCCCTTTATCAGCTTACTCTGTAATTATCAATTAATACTTTAGGAGAGATTAACTGGCAAAAAATGGAAATCAAGATGGCATTTCTCCTGGTTTTGCTCCTCCTCGTTTTGTTCTCCTGGTTTTGCTCCTCATTAGCAGTGTGACCTTAATTTTTTAATTTCTCTAGGTCCTGGGTTCTTCATGTATGCAGTGAAGGAACTAGGTGATAGAATCTTTGACCTCTCTTCTGGTTCTGTTTTAGTGACAGAATTCACTAAATTCACATTTCTGGATTCCTGACTGAAAGGGGATTCATAAGAGCCTTGCTTACTTCATGGCTTTCCTCATTGTGTCCATGGAACTCAGGCCACATGATTGTGGGTCTAGTGAAACAAAGAGAGTGTGGCCAGAGAATGAAAGCCATAGGAAACCTAGATAGCCGCATAATTACTTAGTTGAAAGCCTTGAACAGCTGAATTCCAGAGATGAGTTTGCAAAAGAGGAGTATCATATGGGATGTCACACTTCAACAGCAGAAAAATAGGCTGATACGATCAGAAAGGATGCCAGGCCATTGTGGACATCTGCCGTGCAGAATGACATCAAGTGGCTGTCTGAACATAGTCTGAAATCTCTCTCTCTTGACTTTGAAGAGACCCCTGGGCCTCAAACTTCAAATCTGCAAAGATAGCACTATAGCCAGCAGGCCTGGCTTTCTCATGTCAACATGATGCAAACGTTTCTGTGGATACGGGATTTGGAGTCAGGAAAACTATATTCCAGTGTGACATCTAGCCAAAAACAAAGAAAACTAACAATGTTATTGTTAACTTTGAGCTTTCCTCTACTTTAAGCACTGGGCTAAATGTTTCATGTACTTTCTTTCATTCAAATGGTGACCTTAGGTTCTTCTGTGAGTCTTCATTTCTTTTTCAGTAAAAATGGAGCATATCTGCTTTATCTGATAATAGTAACTAACAATTAACTGAATGCTTACTTGTGCACCGTGCACTAGGGTAAGCACTTTCGTGCATTATTATCTTTGTACAATAATCCTAAGAGGTAGGTAGGGATGATGACTATTTATAGACAGGAAAGCTGAGTTGGACTAAGTGAAATAAACAGCGATGAATAAAGTCTGTGGAAGAAAGGGGATTCATATTTTCTATGCTTCCTGATATCCAAGTCACCCAGAAATACACCAAAGAAGCTTTCAGTTTTCACACCTGGCTGTATGAATTTATTCCATCTCAGTGAGGGCCAAATGGAAGACTATTTGTACAGGGCTGTGTGGATTAAGGGAGTGAAGTGGCAATGAGAAACAGAATTCAAGTAATCTAGAGCTGGATAGAAACTACTTATTTAAGAGAGCACTTGGATTCCAGAGTTTGAGTAAAGGCTTTATTGACTAACTTCCTAAAGTCACCAAGAATATCAATAAACTAAATTTACCCCTTTATTTATCCTTACACCTTTGTATTAGTCCATTCTCACACTGCTACAAATAAATACCTGAGACTGAGTAATTTATAAAGAAAGGAGGTTTAATTGGCTCATGGTACTGCAGGCTGTACAGGAAGCACAGCAGCATCTTCTCTGCTTCTGGGGAGGCCTTAAGAAACTTGTAATCATGGCAGAACGAAAGGGGGAAGCAGGCACATCTTACATGGCTGGAGCAGGAGGAAGAGATGAAGTGGGAAGGTGATACACACTTTTAAACAACCAGATCTTGTAAGAGCTCACTTGCTACACAGTACCAAGGAGGATGGTGTTAAACCATTCATGAGAACTCCACTCCCATGATCCAACCACCTCCCACCAGGACCCACCTCCAGCACTGGGGATTACAATTGAGCTTGAGATTTGGGTGGGGACACAGATCCAAACCATGTCAGCCTTCTTTTCTGTGTTATTTTTATGTCCAGCCTTACTGAACTTTCTAAGCTCCAATTTTTTATGATCTGAAAAATGGGGCTAGTAATAGCTTTAACTGGCTAGTGGTGGTGAGTGGGAGGCAAATAGGAGAATTAAATAATATAGCAGACATTAAAATATTTTGTCAATGATAAACTAATATGGATAGCTATTAGGCCTAATAGTGACTGTGTTGATTGCTGATTTATTATTTGTCACTGATGACAGGACAATATCTCTCTTATTGAGAAGAAATGCCTTCCTTATTTTCTTCTTAAAAAGATTATCATTTGCTTATTTTCTTCCTCCTCTGTGAAGTAAAACTTTATCAAGAAGAATTAAACATTTAAAAAAGATGTGCAGTAATTGGTAGGGAAGGATAACGAGAAGAAAAGCAGACAACTGTCTGCTGCTTAGCATATCCATGAGTGTGTTAATTTAATTAGAACTGCCCTGTATAAATATTAAACTCAATTCACTTTTGTTATGATCCTTTGCTTTTCAAAGTATTCCCAGTTACAGATTATCTTTTTCAAATTCTTCTGTGAGTTTGAGGGAGTTAATGGAAGTAAAACAACCCAAATTGGAATGAACTGAGAGAGGTTTTCATCTTATCACACTTTGCTTCTTTCTGTTATTTTCCTTTGCCTAGTTCCTGGCCCAGCGGCAAAGGAGGTGATTGATTTTCAGTGGTTTTGCCTTTCAAGATGTTGGCAATGCAACAACTTCCCTTCAGTGGAATTCCCATTTTGTGTAGTATTTTGGGGTGGAGGATTGAATTGCTTTACATCTCCACACTCCTGATTAAATGTGAACCCCCACCTGACGTTTCCAGGTCAGTAGCCAGGATGTGGGATGTAGTGCGGGATGGTTGTTTTATTTGATTTTCCCCACAACTGTGTGAGGGCAGGATATCATTGTCCCCATTTTACAGTTAAGAGTAGAGTCAGTAAATCACAGAGCCAAGCATGTATAATTTCTAACAGAAATTATGGGTTTAGTACCTAGATTGAGATTTTGATAGATTCAGGATAAAGGTAGTGAAAAAATTGCCCATGGAATTGGTTTGAACTGAATTCATGAGAATTATAGACTTCCATAGGCAGAAGGGATCACTTTTAGAGTCTTTTTTCAGAATGAGGTGAGTGAGGCAGAGTCGTGCAAGTACAGATTTGGGGTCCTATCTTTATTTAAATTTTTGATACTTTGTTTAGCATGGATATTTCCATTCATTTTTGTGTTTTAAATGTTGCATTAAAAATTCTGTATCTAGATTACCAATTCTTTTGGTACCCCCTTAAATTTTCTGCCTGATGCAAGTGAGGCACTTCCCTCACCCTATTCCCAGCCCTGTATAGCAGGCACAATGCTAGGTTGTTTACCAGTCATAGCCCCTTATTTTTCACATGAAGAAACTGGGGCCTAAGATCACAAAGCCAGCACCAATAACACATGGCTCTTGACTCACAGTATCGTTCTCTTCTTGCTAGTGGAGCTAAAATAATAGGAGAGACAAACGTCAGGAGATTGTAACCTCATAATAGAGCCTGACTAAATGTGCCAGGGAAAAAAGTGTAGCGTCCTTAAACTGTACAAGTCAGTTTAGCACCAAATCTTTCACTCACCCAGCAAGTAGAAATAGCTGCAAGTTGCAGCAGGTGGAATTTAGATTCGGTTCAAAGAAGAATTACTTGACAATGTGGGAAGTGAGGTGCTACATTGTTTCCTAGATAATGGCATAAAATAAGAGTGGGAAATTCAAATCCCCTGAGTTGGGTGTAAATGGTGGCAACTGTGACAAACTGGAGAGAGAGATCATAGTAGAAACTAAGTTCTATACTTAACTTGATTACTAGAGAAGCAATGTCTTTTCTTTCTTTCTGGGTCTCGGACACCCTTTTGATTTCAGGTCAAAATCATTTTCTTGAAGTAACGTGAACCCCAATATGGCATCATCCTCTTCTACCTATCCATAGAACCTCCTTGATTCTACTTCTTTGTTTTGTCTTTGCAGCTTTAGTCAACAGAGGCTGTTCCCACAGTTCCTCATCCTTCCCTCAGTTATCTATTTCTGTAGCTCTGGGTCCTGAATTACAGCATTTTCTAACCCTTTGATTTGGCTCTCTTCTGCTCTGAAAAGCATTGGCTCTTTCACAGTTACTGTACAGTATCCCCACTGTGGCATTTTCTGACTCCCATGCTGGGCCATCTCATCCCCCATCAACAAATCACCTTGCTACCACATGGCCTTTTGGTAACTGACTTTTATGTAGAATAACATACATGTAGAATGTGTGAGAGAACAATGCAGGCAGGAGCCTGGCTTTGCTCTGCACTGAATATTTAGCACTAGCATAGTTCTCTGCTGTACAAATAGGAAGTCAATAATACTTGTTGAATTAATAAATATTTATACAGTGCAATTTAATTAATTCCAAGTTTGGCATCTTCTAAAATTCACATAGGAATTTTCAATGTGGCCAAAAGCCCCACATTTCATAGCAAAATCATGACTTGGCTAATCAGAGAGATAAAAGAAAGAAAGAAAGAAAAAGCTCTGCCCTTTGCATGTGGCCTGATAAACAATTATGCCCTCCAGACACCAGGGCTGTGAATTCCGCCTTTTTAAACAGGCCCAGAGTCAGCTTATTTGGAGATTTTCAGCACCGTGGACAGAGGCACCAGGTTACTTTTTATCTGTCACTCCCTGAACAGCAGGATGAAGAACTACTCAGTTTGGGACAGGGCTCTCAGCCACTGTGGTGAAAATCACCCCCTTTAGCAGAAGGAAATTTACTTAGACCCTTTTTATTTCCCCTTTCCCTTGGAAAAATTGCATTTTCAGTTGTCAAGGCACTTAGGCTTCTACAAGTTATTTTTCAGGTGCCTGGAGGATGGAAAAGGGTTGCCCTGGAAATTGATATCTTCTTCTGAGTTTGGCTTAACAGGGGAACCACCAGTGCCCTTGCGGATGGCTGAGGTGTCTTTTATGCTAGGTATGGCTCTCTTCCAGATAACCAAGTGTAGACAGGAGTAGGCCCAGTTGTTCATGGAGCATTGGTTTTAGGACTTGACCTAAAAGCTGGGTCATACTATTGCCAGGGCAAGAATTACAAAAGCAGGTAAACTCTGCCAAGATTTTTCTAGTGGAACATACACATTCATGGGGATGAATCCTTCCCAAACTTTCAGGTTTTACTGTATTTGGCTGTAAAATTCAAAAGCCAGATTGACTAATTCTCAGTGCCTGTTAAATTCTTTTAGGAGCAAAGTGATACATTGTCCCCACCCCTGCCTTTCCTAAGAACTCATTTTTTCCCCTACTCATTAGCTGTATTCAAATGCAGAGCTTTGCTGATGAACAGCAAAGTGGCTTCTTGACTATTGGGTCTCTCACTTTGTCTTCTCCTGGACTCTGTAAGTAGCCCTACTTTCATTTATTTTCTAATCTTTGATGCCTTTCCTTCATTTTCTTGAAGCACCTTTACTTTTCATAGTCTGTCTCTTTCTTTTTGCCCCTTTTATGGCCATTACACACAAATCTGAGCTGGCCCTCTTCTCATGGCAATAGACATCCTGGGCTACTTTCATGAGGAAGCTTAGGACAGGAGCTGATGGAGATTAGCCAAAATGTCAGAGTTAGCCTACCCTTTGACCTGGGCCTGGAGGTGAGGTTTTCTTCTTACACTTACTTTGGAATGAGAAATGAGAGAGTGAAGTTTTCTTCCTACACTTACTTCATGTCAATCTTCTCAGTGTCTAATTGCTATGATCAGAAATTCAGAGTTATCCCAGGCTGGGTATTTGCATACCACAATGAGAATTGCTACAACTAATGTTGCTTGATGGAAGGGCAGGAGCTGAAATTTTACCTGAGCCACCAATTTTCTCAAAACCTTGGCCTGAGAGAGAATTCAAGTTTTACCCAGAAGTATCTACATTTTGTTTTTTACAAAAGGGCTCATGATAGAGCTCAGTTACCTTCTGCTATCCATCTGTGCCAATCTGAACTGAATCAGAGTATCATTTCCTTTTTTTTGCATGTGCTGGTGTCTCCTGTGTTGGCCTTTTAGAGTCTGACACGGTATTTGGGACCCTCCATGAGATTGGAAGGAGTTCCATTAAGTGATAGATAAAGATGTAGCCAGTAGAGGCCAAAGGTACTCAAATACTTTTTATTTAACCTTCTTACTTTTTGTCCTTAGGGAAACTGTAGACACTTTGAGACTGTTTATTTTATGCTTCTTTTCTAGGAGGTAAAGCTTTTGGGGGAAGGTTTTATGCTTTCAGAATTTTCAGTTAACATTTCTGCTTTGTGATGGTCTCCCAATCCCATCTCCTTCAATGACAGCTCCAAAATATCACCAGTTTTTTATTTTTCTTATTCAACCCTAAGTTTTATTGGAGAACCTTATTCCTGCTTCATGGAGAAAACTGGCTAGGCGTGGTGGCTCATGCCTGTAATCCCAGCACTTTGAGAGGCCGAGGTAGGTGGATCACCTGAGGTTGGAAGTTCAAGACTAGCCTGACCAACATGGAGAAACCCCATCTTTACTAAAAATACAAAAAAAAAAAAAAAATAGCCAAGTGCGCGCGTGGTGGCACATGCCTGTAATCCCAGCTACTCGGGAGGCTGAGGCAGGAGAATCACTTGAACCCAGGAGGCGGAAGTTCTGGTGAGCCAAGATCGCGCCATTGCACTCCAGCCTGGGCAATAAGAGCGAAACTCCATCTCAAAAGAAAAAAAAAAAGAAAAGAAAAGAAAAGAAAAAGAAAATTGATGATATTTTGTGTGTGTGTGTGTGTGTGTGTGTGTGTGTGTGTGTGTGTGTTTTAGTTCTCCAGCCCCCTTAGAAAGATTCTTTCTTCCACACCAATTCTCATTTCCTTTTCTTCAGGTTTAGAGATGACTTCTCTCATTCAAGACCAGTTCCTTCTCTCCTATCTTTCAGGAGATTTCTCTATAATTCATTCTCTCTCTCCACACTCACCCCACCCCACTACATGATCTTCAACCTCTCCCTCTCTCTTCTCTACTTGTCTTCATTCTGTCAGCTTAGAATCATCTTTCCTGTGTTCCCACCTAGCAAATATCCTTTCTTTGACGCCACATCTCTTTAGCTCCCATCTTTGTTTATCTTCGCTTTCTTCTTCTTTTTTTTTTCCTTCGTATCCAAATCATCATTCATTACACAACTCATTGAAATCTGAATTATCTTTCTTTTCATCCAATGAATCATGCCTAGGTCAATGATTTATTTTTCCACCAAACTTGCTATTCTTCGAGTATTTACCATTTCTGCATGTGACACCACTATCTATCTCAGCTAGCTGTCTCAGAAACGTCACATCTTCCACACCCATCAAGCTCTAATTACTTTCTTCCTCAACAGCTCTCAATTTCCTGTCCTCTCTATTTCTGCTACCACTGCCTATATTCTGAGCTTTGTTGTTTCTTACTATGCCACTACATCAGTCTCCCAACTGATATCTCTCTCTCTCTCCCTCCAGCCTTTTTTTTTTTTTTTTTTGAGATGGAGTCTTGCTCTGTCGCCCAGGGTGGAGTGCAGTGGTGCGATCTTGGCTCACTGCAACTTCTGCCTCCAGGTGATTCTCCTGCCTCAGCCTCCCAAGTAGCTGGGACTACAGCCACCACGCCCGGCTAATTTTTGTATTTTTAGTAGAGACAGGGTTTCGCCACATTGGTCAGGCTGGTCTCAAACTCCTGACCTCAGGTGATCCGCCCGCCTCAGCCTCCCAACCTCCAGCTCTCTTCTAGTTGTTTATCCTCCTGTATCACTAGTGTACACCCTCACTCATATTCACTGTGTAAAATGCAAAGCTGACCTGATTAAAATCTGTGTTACCTTCCTATTTCCTGTGGGGTAATAGTCCAATCTTCTGTATAAGGCTGTCCACGATCCATCTCCTGCCATTTTTCCTGCTTTTTGTTCCAACCATCATTTACCTTGCTGTTCACCCTCCACAACACCCACAGTTGCTAGTGGTTCCCTGTATTTGATACGCTGTTTCTCATGTTTGCGGTTTGTGGGAGCCTTCCCCTTTGCCAATATTGGCATTTGCCTATTTTCTTAGTTAACTCGTGGTCATCTGTTGAAAATCAGCTCGATATCATCTCTCCAGGAAGCCCTCCCCGCATTTCTGCACTCACTTTCTCCATCCGTTACCAAGGTTGAAGCACCTTCCTTTCTGTTGGTATAAAGTACCATGCATATGGCCACTATGGCCATTGCACTCATGGTACTGAGTTACCTGTTTTTGTATTTTTTTTCCTCAATGTGCCTCCATACTCAGTACATCATTTTTTTCTATAGTACTGGGCAAGGTTCTTGACACACATGAGCTGCTTAATTAAGTTTAATGTATTTATGACAAATTTAGAGCAGGTTTGAAGAAATTCAGGCTTTTCCCCATTAAGTAATGGTGCACCCCATTAAGTAATGGTGCACTTTGGGAGAAATGGGCTGAAAAAGTTTTAACGATAGCTTTTGCAGCCTATTTGCCCCAATTGTGTAAATACTAATTTAAAACCAAATGACTTCTAGAAAGTCTGTAGTCAGTCTTCACCATTGGGAGATAATGAGGCAACATGGATTTTGCTGCCTCTCTCTTAAATAACATGAATCTACTGTGGAGACTTTTAAGCCTATGATGATATTTTATATCAAAACTGAGATAAATAAAAAATGTTCACTGACAATAATGACTATAGATAAATGCTGTCAGTTGTAAGGAAGTGTCAATCACAGACAGACGTCAGTGGATCTGTGAGGGCCACACTGAATTTTTGCATGTGTAAACTGTATAAAATAAGATTTTAAAGAATGTCATAATCATATTCAGAAAGTGGAATGAGTGTGCATCTGAATGGCTGCCCAATCTATAACGAATATTCTATCTACAGGGCAATAAGCAGAAAAGGTGATGCAGAGCAGCCAGCCAGATACTATCATCCTCATTTCTTTAACATGTATTTCTAGATCCTTTTTTGCTCAGAACATTGTTATGGCATTCCTCAGAACGCTTTTAGTCTCTCTCTTTCTCTTTTATACTTAAAATTCTAAACCAGATTCTGGTGTAGAGTTCTGAGATTATCACTGTGCCACAGTGCCATTCAACATTCCTGGGATTACATTTTTCTTTACAAAAGGTAGCACTTTGGTATTCCCCTAGGACCCTCAGATTCTCCTTTTTTCTTTTCATTGCTGCTTACCAGAAACAGGTGCTCCTCAACCTGTATTTGTGCAGTATTTTTTGCAATAGGCAATTATATGTACTTTTAGTGATAATAGTTGTTTGTACATTAACAATAGTTTCACTTTTAAAATTGGTGTATTTTCCCCTTCCGCATATGTGTATGTACACAAAGGAATACAAACAAGGACAGACCTGATTGTTCCTTTGTTATAAGTAAAGACCATCTAATTATAATAAAGCACAATTAATAATTGTGTGTAATGAGCAAATTAGAGCAATAATACAAGAAAATGAGAGGCAATTCCTTGAAATGTTTCTGTCTTATCTTTTAATTGAAAAAAAAAAAAAAGCCTTCCATTTCCCTCAGGTAGAGTGAAACTGACAACTGAGCTGCCCTGCTTCTGCCAAATATGAAGATATCTAAGACTCTGCTTCTCTGTTTACTGGGCAAAGTCCTGGAGGGAGAGTGGGGAGGGGAAAGGAAGAAGTCTGTTGAACTTGGGGCTTAGTTTCACTCTGGATTATGTGGCAAATTGATTTTGATAACAGGCACCTCCCCATTCATACCTATGTTATTCTTAGGATTATGCAGTAAAATAGTTTAATAGTAAAAGGATAGAACTTTGGTGTTAGAAAGACCTAATTTCTGGTCCTGACTTTGCCACTTTACTAATTTGTGGTTTTAAGAAGCTACTTAAGTATTCCAAGATGTAGTTATAGGTCACATGGTTTTTGTGACACTTAATTGGATAGTGCTTACTTCAAGGCCTAGCATGTAGCCAGGGCTCCATCAATATTCTCTATGAGAGAAAGAGGAGGAGGAAAAGACTAAAAAGTCCGAAGGATGATATGATGTAGTTGAAAGAGGATGCACTTAGACACTTAAATCCTGTATTCGTTTCTTACTGTCTGTATTGTGTTGGGTAAAGCAACTTGAACTTTCAAACTCACCATTTTCCAAATCTATTAAAAAATGGATAATCATGCTTAATATAGAACAGTTCTGAGAATTAGGTAAGAAAATGTCTATGTAAGTGCCTAGTGCCACATCTTGCCATTAGTAAGAACCAAGAAATGCTATTTGTGGTGGGATGCCATTGATGTTGGGTAGAGCTTAGCTATGATTTATGATACTCCCAAGAGACTTTTTTTTTAATCGTGTGAAGCCATGTGTTCTATTCTGCTCAACGTTCTCATCAGACTCATGATTCCTAATTCTTAAAGCAAAAAATGGGGTCTGAGAGTGTTTCGTGGCATGACAGTTGTGGTCAGAACCCCTCCCATATTCCCTTATTCTCACCAAGTCAATGCAACTTCGATCAGGCATGCATTTTTCTGCCTGGGGGCTTGCTCTTTGCTAATGGATCTGCTTTGTATCCTGTGCTATAGACCAGAAGTGCAGAGAAATTAATGTCCTCTTTCCTCAGTGTTCATCAAACAATGGCTGGTGTTGTTTTCTACTGGCTCCTAGACCTTCCTCAGTGAGCTAAAATTCCATTTTCCCTAGATAGTAGCTGGCTCTTGCCCCGTCTGTAGGTCACATCCCCGCATCACGTTCCTAATAATCTACCTGCACTTCACTCTTGGTCTGAAGGTTTGCTTCTGAGGAAACCCAAACTAAGGCATGGGGCTACTCTAGTAAGCCAGCCCAGTGATGTTTATGGTGAATTATCATAAGTAGATCTCGATACCAGGATTTGTATTATATTGTACAGAACTGGTTATAATAGAACTAGCTCTAGCTGGTCTGAGGCTTAATATGTAGATTGAAATAAACATGCCTGAGACCTACAGATTATTTTTCTTTTTTTTTTTTATTATACTTTAAGTTCTAGGGTACATGTGCACAACGTGCAGATTTGATACATAGGTATACATGTGCCATGTTGGTTTGCTGCACCCATCAACTCATCATTTACATTAGGTATTTCTCTTAATGCTATCCCTCCCCCAGCCCCCCACCCATGACAGGCCCCAGTGTGTGATGTTCCCCGGCCTGTGTCCAAGTGAACTCAATGTTCCATTCTCACCTATGAGTGAGAACATGCAGTGTTTGGTTTTCTGTCCTTGTGACAGTTTGCTGAGAATGATGGTTTCCAGCTTCATCCATGTTCCTGCAAAGGACATGAACTCATCCTTTTTTATGGCTGCATAGTATTCCATGGTGTATATGTGCCACATTTTCTTAATCCAGTCTATCATTGATGGACATTTGGGTTGGTTCCAAGTCTTTGCTATTGTGAGTAGTACCACCATAAACATACATGTGCATATGTCTTTATAGTAGCATGATTTATAATCCTTTGGGTATATACCCAGTTATGGGATTGCTGGGTCCAATCATAATTCTAGTTCTAGATCCTTGAGGAATTGCCACACTGTCTTCCACAATGGTTGAACTAATTTACACTCCCACCAACAGTGTAAAAGCATTCCTATTTCTCCACATCCTCTCCAGCATCTTTTGTTTCCTGACTTTTTAATGATTGCCATTCTAACTGGTGTGAGATGCTATCTCATTGTGGTTTTGATTTGCATTTCTCTGATGACTGGTGATGATGAGCATTTTTACATGTGTCTATTAATTGGCTGCATAGATGTCTTCTTTTGAGAAGTGTCTGTTCATATCTTTGCCCACTTTTTGGTGGGGTTGTTTGATTTTTCTTGTGAATTTGTTTGAGTTCTTTGTAGATTCTGGATATTAACCCTTTGTCAGATGGGTAGGTTGCAAAAATTTTCTCCCATTCTGTAGGTTGCTTGTTCACTCTGATAGTAGTTTCTTTTGCCATGCAGAAACTGTTTGGTTTAATTAGATCCCATTTGCCTATTTTGGCTTTTGTTGCCATTGCTTTTTGTGTTTTAGTCATGAAGTCCTTGCCCATGCCTATGTACTGAATGGTATTGCCTAGATTTTCTTCTAGGGTTTTTATGGTTTTGGATCTAACATTTAAGTCTTTAATCCATCTTGAATTAATTTTTGTATAAGGTATAAGGAAGGGATCCAGTTTCAGCTTTCTACATATGGCTAGCCAGTTTTCCCAGCACCATTTATTAAATAGGGAATCCTTTCCCCATTTCTTGTTTTTGTCAGGTTTGTCAAAGATCAGATGGTTGTAGATGTGTAGTGTTATTTCTGAGGCCTCTGTTCTGTTTCATTGGTCTGTATATCTGTTTTGGTAACAGTACCATGCTGTTTTGGTTACTATAGCCTTGTACTATAGTTTGAAGTCAGGTAGCATGATGCTTCCAGCTTTGTTCTTTTTGCTTAGGATTGACTTGGCAATGCGGGCTCTTTTTTGGTTCCATATGAACTTTAAAGTAGTTTTTTTCCAATTCTGTGAAGAAAGGGTCATTGGTAGCTTAATGGGGATGGCATTGAATCTATAAATTACTTTGGGCAGTATGGCCATTTTCACGATATTGATTCTTCCTATCCATGAGCATGGAATGTACTTCCATTTGTTTGTATCCTCTTTTATTTCATTGAGCAGTGGTTTGTAGTTCTCCTTGAAGAGGTACTTCACATCCCTTGTAAGTTGGATTCCTAGGTACTTTATTCTCTTTGTAGCAATTGTGAATGGGAGTTCACTCATGATTTGGCTCTCAGTTTGTCTGTTAATGGTGTATAGGAATGCTTGTGATTTTTGCACATTGATTTTGTATCCTGAGACTTTGCTGAAGTTGCTTATCAGCTTAAGGAGATTTTGGGCTGAGACGATGGGGTTTTCTAAATATGCAATCATGTCATCTGCAAATGGAGACAATTTGACTTCCTCATTGTGTAATTGAATACAGTTTATTTCTTTCTCCTGCCTGATTGCCCTGGCCAGAACTTCCAACACTATGTTGAATGGGAGTGGTGAGAGAGGGCATCCCTGTCTTGTGCCAGTTTTCAAAGGGAATGCTTCCAGTTTTTGCCCATTCAGTATGATATTGGCTGTGGGTTTGTCATAAATAGCTCTTATTATTTTGAGATAAGTTCCATCAATACCTAGTTTATTGAGAGTTTTTAGCATGAAAGGCTGTTGAATTTTGTGGAAGGCCTTTTCTGCATCTATTGAGATAATCATGTGGTTTTTATTGTTGGTGCTGTTTATGTGATGGATTACGTTTATTGATTTGTGTATCTTGAACCAGTCTTGCATCCCAGGGATGAAGCTGACTTGATCATGGTGGATAAGCTTTTTGATGTGCTGCTGGATTCAGTTCGAAAGTATTTTATTGAGGATTTTTGCATTGATGTTCATCAGGGATATTGGTCTGAAATTCTGTTTTTTTGTTGTGTCTCTGCCAGGCTTTGGTATCACGATTATGTTGGCCTCATAAAATGAGTTAGGGAGGGTTCCCTCTTTTTCTATTGATTGGAATAGTTTTAGAAGGAATGCTAGCAGCTCCTCTTTGTACCTCTGGTAGAATTTGGCAGTGAATCCATCTGGTCCTGGACTTTTTTTGGTTGGTAGGTTATTAATTATTGCCTCAATTTCAGAGCCTGTTATTGGTCTATTCAGAGATTCACCTTCTTCCTGGTTTAGTCTTGGGAGGGTATATGTGTCCAGGAATTTATCCATTTCTTCTAGATTTTCTAGTTCATTTGCATAGAGGTGTTTATAGTATTCTCTGATGGTAGTTTGTATTTCTGTGGGATCAATGGTGATATCCCCTTTTTTTTATTGCATCTATTTGATTCTTCTCTCTTTTCTTCTTTATTAGTCTTGCTAGTGATCTATCAATTTTGTTGATCTTTTCAAAAAACCAGCCCCTGGATTCATTAATTTTTTGAAGGGTTTTTTGTGTCTCTTTCTCTTTCAGTTCTTCCCTGATCTTACTTATCTCTTGCCTTCTGCTAACTTTTGAATTTGTTTGCTCTTGTTTCTGTCGTTCTTTTAATTGTAATGTTAGGGTGTCGATTATAGATCCTTCCTGCTTTCTCTTGTGGGCATTTAGTGTAAATTTCCCTGTACACACTGTTTTAAATGTGTCCCAGAGATTCTGGTATGTTGTGTCTTTGTTATCATTGGTTTCAAAGAACATCTTTATTTCTGCCTTCATTTTGTTATTTACCCAGTAGTCATTCAGGAGCAAGTTGTTCAGTTTCCATGTAGTTGAGTGGTTTTGAGTGAGTTTCTTAATCCTGAGTTCTAATTTGATTGCACTGTGGTCTCAGAGACAGTTTGTTGTGATTTCTGTTCTTTTACATTTGCTGAGGAGTGCTTTACTCCCAATTATGTGGTCAATTTTGGAATAAGCGCGATGTGGTGCTGAGAAGAATGTATATTCTGTTGATGTGGGGTGGAGAGTTCTGTAGATGTCTATTAGTTCTGCTTGTTGCAGAGCTGAGTTCAAGTCCTGGATATCCTTGTTAATCTTCTGTCTTATTGATTTGTCTAATATTGGCAGTGGGGTTTTAAAGTCTCCCATTATTATTGTGTGGGAGTCTAAGTCTCTTTGTAGGTCTCGAAGGACTTGCCTTATGAATCTGGGTGCTCCTGCATTGGGTGCATATATATTTAGGATAGTTAGCTCTTCTTGTTGAATTGATCCCTTTACCATTATATAATGGCCTTCTTTTTCTCTTTTGATCTTTGTTGGTTTAAAGTCTGTTTTATCAGAGACTAGGATTGCAACCCCTGCTTTTTTTTTTTTTTTTTGCTTTCCATTTGCTTGGTAGATCTTCCTCCATTCCTCTATTTTGAGCCTATATGCATCTTTGCACATGAGATGGGTCTCCTGAATACAGCACACTGATGGATCTTGACTCTTTATCCAATTTGCCAGTCTGTGTCTTTTAATTGGGGGCATTTAGCCCATTTACATTTAAGGGTAATATTGTTATGTGTGAATTTGATTCTGTCATTATGATATTCACTGGTTATTTTGCCCATTAATTGATGCAGTTTCTTCATACCATCAATGGTCTTTACAATTTGGCATGTTTTTGCAGTGGCTGGTACCAGTTGTCTCTTTCCATGTTTAGTGCTTCCTTCAGGAGCTCTTGTAAGACAGGTCTGGTGGTGACAAAATCTCTCAGTGTTTGGTTGTCTGTAAAGGATTTTATTTCTCCTTCACTTATGAAGCTTAGTTTGGCTGGATATGAAATTCTGGGTTGAAAATTCTTTTATTTTAGAATGTTGAATATTGGCCTCCACTCTCTTCTGGCTTGTAATGTTTCTGCTGAGAGATCTGCTGTTACTCTCATGGGCTTCCCTTTGTGGGTAACTCGGCTTTTCTCTCTGGCTACCCTTAACACTTTTCCCTTCATTTCAACCTTGGTGAATCTGACAATTATGTGTCTGGGGTTGCTCTTCTTGAGGAGTATCTTTGTGATGTTGTCTATATTTCCTGAATTTGAATGTTGGCCTGCCTTGCTAGGTTGGGGAAGTTCTGGATAATATCCTGAAGAGTGTTTTCCAACATGGTTCCATTCTCCCCATCACTTTCAGGGAAACCAATCAGACGTAGATTTGGTCTTTTCACATACTCCCATATTTCTTTGAGGCTTTGTTCATTTCTTTTTACTCTTTTTTCCCTAACCTTGTCTTCTTGCTTTATTTCATTAATTTGATCTTCAATCACTGATACCCTTTCTTCCACTTGATTGAATCAGCTATTGAAACTTGTGTATGCATCATGAAGTTCTCGTGCCATGATTTTCAGCTCCATCAGGTCATTTAAGGTCTTCTCTCACTGTTTGTTCTAGTTAGCCATTCATGTAATATTTTTTCAAGGTTCTTAGCTTCCTTGCGATGGGTTCTAACATCCTCCTTTAGCTTGGAGACGTTTGTTATTACCGACCTTCTGAAGCCTACTTCTGTCAACTCGTCAAAGTCATTCTCCATCCAGCTTTGTTCCGTTGTTGGTGAGGAGCTGTGATCCTTTGGAGGAGAAGAGGCACTCTGATTTTTAGAATTTTCAGCTTTCCTGCTCTGGTTTCTCCCCACCTTTGTGCTTTCATCCCACCTTTGGTCTTTGATGTTGGTGACCTACAGATGGGGTTTTGGTGTAGATGACCTTTCTGTTGATGTTGATGCTATTCTTTTCTGTTTGTTAGTTTTCCTTCTAACAGTCTGGTCCCTCAGCTGCAGGTCTATTGGAGTTTGCTGGAGGTCCACTCAAGACCATGTTTGCCTGGGTATCACCAGCAGAGGCTGCAGAACAGCAAATATTGCAGAACAGCAAATATTGCAGAACAGCAAATACTGCAGGAAAGCAAATATTGCTGCCTGATTCTTCCTCTGGAAGCTTCGTTCCAGAGGGGCAGCTGCCTATATGAGGTGTCTGTCATCCCCTACTGGGAGGTGTCTCCCAGTTAGGCTACACGGGGGTCAGGGACCAACTTGAGGAGGCAGTCTGTCCATTCTCAGAGCCCAAACACTGTGCTGAGAGAACCACTGCTCTCTTCAGAGCTGTCAGACAGGGACGTTTAAGTCTGCACAAGTTGTCTGCTGCCTTTTCTTCAGCTGTGCCCTGCCCATAGCTGATGTGGAGTGTAGAGGTGGAGTCTAGAGGCAGTAGGCCTTCTTGAGCTGTGGTGGGCTCTGCCCAGTTTGAGCTTCCAGGCCACTTTGTTTACCTACTCAAGCCTCAGCAATGGCAGATGCCCCTCCCCCAGCCAGGCTGCCACCTTGCAGTTCAATCTCAGACTGTTGCGCTAGCAGTGAGCAAGGCTCTGTGGGTGTGTGACCCATCGAGCCAGGCACAGGAGAGAATCTCCTTGTCTGCCAGTTGCTAAGACCTTGGGAAAAGTGCAGTATTTGGGCGGGAGTGTCCCGTTTTTTCCAGGTAGTCTGTCATGGCTTCCCTTGGCTAGGAAAGGGAAATCCCCTGACCCCTTGCACTTCCTGGGTGAGGCGATGCCCCACCCTACTTCAGCTTGCCCTCCATGGGCTACACCCACTGTCTAACCAGTCCCAGTAAGATGAACCAGGTACCTCAGTTGGAAATGCAGAAATCACCCATCTTCTGCATCGATCACACTGGGAGCTGCAGACTGGAGCTGTTACTATTTGGCCATCTTGGAATACCCACTCCAGATTTCTTTTCTTAAAATAATACCTTTCTAAATACCTGTTGGAGTGCTTGAGTTGGTAGGGGCTATGGGAATGTCATCTGACTGATTTTGTCAGAGGACTTTGTGGATTTGAGACAGGGTGGGTAGGAGAGGATCATCACATTGATTCCAGAACTAAACTTAGGGCTTGAGGTCACTTTAGGTGGGGTAGAAGTGGGGATATCTGGCATACTATGAGATTTAGAGGGCCACTGTAGCCTCATAGGTACTCAGACTTTATAGTGTTGGTTTAATTAGGGATTTTCTTAAGCTGGCTGCCCTGATTCAAGGTGATGGTTATCTGAGCACCAGGTAAGGCCTGGGAAGGGTAGAGGCAATATGGCTAGATGTCCATTTCCTATAATCTCTAAATTTGTATGAATTGATGCATTCATGATCTGAGATCATAAATGAAGTCCATAAAGTCCATAAACCTCCTGATATTTTATGTAAAACTTAATGCATATGTACACTTTTCTAGAGAGGAAGTCTTGAGCTTTTGGATTTTAACAGGTGTCCTCAACATATTGAAAACTGCTTCAGCTTGATGTCCAATTTCAGTGCTAACAATTGTTGCAGAAGTGTTTTTGAGCACTAATCATATCAATTGCAATAATGGTGCTCCTTGGGGTCTCAGGTGAGCTGAGACTTGGAGCCTTGGGATCCAGAACTCACCCTTAAATAAGCATAGCATCTCTCTTGGTGGGGGTCTGTGGAGGTACAGGGAGGTTGGAGAGAGTTGGCATTACCCAATTTAGTGAGGTTAAGATAAACACTGCAGAGTAATCCATGGCTGACCTCAGTGATGAGTTATCCATTTTGCAATCTGGCCTTTTATTACATTGCTGTTGACTTTGTTGTTGTTGTTATTGTTACATGTTTGTTTTTCTTTGGATATCAATGCTTTTATGGGAATTATTTCTCATTTCGTTAATCCTAGCCTAGTTTCCTTCAAAAGGGTCTTGAGTGCAGGTAGCCTCTTCAGGGTAGAGTAAAACAACAAAAAAGTCAAAGCCGGAATCAAGGGTGTGTTTTCTATCATACAGAATATTATGATGGACCACTGAGGCTCAGTGCCACTAGGGACTCTCTTGGGAGGTGCATAGAATGAATATTAAAACTCTCTGCCTGAAAGATGGAATAAGGCAGAATGTATTTACTGTTCCCATTTCCCCTTGGCCAAGGATTACTTCATGGGGCATTAACTGTCTTACATTTCCAGGTTTACTCAGATGCCCTGCAGGTTCCCACAGGCTTCCTGCATGCTGATAGCAGAGGAGCCCTGGGGCACACCATGAGAGATACATGATACAGCTCAGGCAAATGCTATCAAGTTATACCAAAGGCACCTCTTTGCAGCAGCTGGCATGCAAAAGTGAACAGAGAGGATATGAGGGCACAAGAGGTGTCTCATACACCTTCTCCATTCTAGCATCTCTCCTCACTGAGACCATGGTAATCTTAACTTGTAGGCATGCAGTGTTAATAAATGAAGCCAAAGTGCTGGATTTGATCCCTATGTAGGTCACTTAGCTGCCCACAGTGAAAAGTAGCACCATGGACATCAAAGTGAACAAACCCCTGCCTGAGTACTTATTTCCATGGATCAAAAGGATGGGGAAATGCTGATGGAGAGTTGAACTTTATAATCGGGAAAAGTCCATTCAAATGGGCTATTTTATTCAATTCCCAAATAGCCCTAGACTTTATATAACTTACATGGTGGAATTCATGCTTTTACTAACAAGTAAGTTAAGGCTCATAGAGGCTGCGTGACTTGACCAGGGTCCCATAGTTAATAGACTGAAATGTATTCCTTCTTACTTCAAACTTGTTCACATCATCCAGCTCTCTGGCAACACATTACTGGAAAAGAAAAATAGTTCAGAGAAGGATGTGCTCATGAGGACTGCATAGAGTTGCAATCTTCTTGGGAGGGTACACATGCATGACCTGCCAAATCTGAAATATTAGGAACTTTTGCTTGCAACTTGTTCCATCTACAGCATGGGTAGAGGTGGCAACAGAGAGGTGACTGGGGAGAGGTTTGCCCAAGAGACAGCAGGGAGATTCTGGGAATAAACAGGAGTTGGGTTCTCAATTTGGCAACTAAGCATTCTTTTGTTATTGCACTTTCTCAGGCTGCAGCAGAGCCTGATTAGCTTTAAAATTCATTTCCATTGGTTTCTTCTTTCATGATAGTTTTAGATGTTGTTTTATTGGCATTCCTATAGATGTAATTTAACCTTGGTAGTACTGATGAACTGGTTGTTCTCTTGTAAATTTTAGAAGGAAGGTGGACAGTCTGGGAGAACCAGAACTGACAGGAGCAATAGGGTGCATTGCTAACTGGCACCCTGTGCTCTGAGGTCAAAAGGAAACATAGGAAGGTGGTTTCTGAGGGCAAGACCTAGGCTCCTCTCTCAATTCTCTTTTGATTTCAAATTTTGTTTCTTAATTTACTTTAAACACACACACAAACAACTTTACATAAATGTGTACATATGATTTCAGTACATTTTCCTAAGTGTATTCTTTTCTTTCCATTTTTGTTTGATGTCTCCCCTCTTCTCCTTTTTGTCCATGTTGGTCCCCTAACTCTACTCCAAGATAGTTCATATTAATAACCTAGTATAAATCCTGGCACATTTTTCTCTATACACATATAATTTATACATATAGAAATGTATACAAGTTTTTCAGGTCATTGTTTTATAAAATGGGATATTATATACTTATTTTGCATCTTGATTTTCTTTTTAGAAGAACACTATTGTGCATCATAGAATAAATACAAAAAAGTTTAAAACATATTTAGGTACTTTAAATAATAATGAAGCAAACATTTGTAGTATGTCTATCTACCCACTGCATTAAAGAAATAGGGAATTACCAGTGCCTTAGAACCTGCTGTGTGCCACTTTGCAATCTCTTTTTCCTCTTTCCCTCAGGAACTCTACTTTCTGGAATCAGTCCTGTGTTTCTCTTTCTATATTTTGCTTCTGTTGCTCAACATTACTTTATAAAAATTTTTTCATATCAAAAGGCAGTGCTCTAATTCACTCTTTTTAATGGGTGCATAATATTCCAGTCTGATGATATGTTATATATGTGGTATTCTCCTTCCTGTAAATTATAATTTTATTTCCATCTTACTTTTTTCTACCATGCACAATGTTGCAATAAATATCATTGTGTATTTGCACTGGTGCTTTTATATCTGGTGCAGTCCAGGAATGGGGTTGATAAATAGAAGAGGATATGTATTTTAAATATGAACAAATACTGTCATATGGCTTTTCAAAACATTGTAACACTTCACATACTCAAGCAATGTATGAGCACACCCTTTTCACACATCCCTGATAGTGATACGAATTATTGCTTTTTTAAATTGTGCCAGCTGAGAAGTGTAAAGTGATATTTCATTGTTATTTTAATTTGCATTTCTCGGACTGTTAGTGAATCTGAGCATTTTTGCATTTGTTTGTAGGCCATTTAGCTGAGCACTTCTGTAAATGGGCTATTCATGACTTCTTGTTTCTACAATGGAGATATTTGTCTTTTTCTTGTCTTTCCATAGTAATATTTGTTTACCTTGTTTAGGGTATATTTTGCCATCAAATATGTTACTTTTTAATGTAGTTAGATGTCTGTTTTTAACTTTCACATCTTCTAATTTCCAGTCTTCGTAGAGAATGTTTTCCCCGTCCCCACCTTTAAAAAGTGTGTTTAGTTTTTAAGATTCTTTTTAAATCTTTGTTTTCATTTTTTATATTTAAATCTTAATCCATTTAGAAATTTATTTTTGTGTTTATAGATGCTAGAGGTCCATGTTTACTTTGTTCCTGATGATAATGATAATAACAATAGCTAACACTTACTGCTGCTATGTGGTAAGCATTGTTATATAGGCACTTTCCACATATTGCATCGCTGACTTGGCCTTGTCCCTCACAACTCTGAGACATAGGTTTTCTTACCATATCCATTTTACACTTGAGGAAAATGAGGCACAAAAAAATTGAGTAATTAGCCCAAAGGTCACAGAGGAGGTCAAGTGGTGAATGTGGGATTTGAACTCTGGGAATCTGGCACTGAAATCCACTCTTATTATAGTTCCTCTTATTTGTTAGGCCAGGACTATTTATGAAAAAAGCCACTCTTTTCCCACTGAATTACATTACTTTTCTTGTCATTTATTAAATTCTCACATATACCAGAGTTTATTTCTCGATTGTCTGTCTGCTCCCTGATCTTTTCATCTATTCCTAGCATTTTTTGTTGAGTTGATGATCATGGTCGTATAATGTCTGATATCTATGAAGTCCAGTCTTCTGTCATTGCTCTTTTTTTTTCATTTATTTTTTTTTGAGACGGAGTCTCTCTCTGTCGCCCAGCCTGGATGCAGTGGCGAGATCTCAGCTCACTGCAAGCTCCCCGTCCTGGGTTCATGCCATTCTCCTGCCTCAGCCTCCCAAGCAGCTGGGATTACAGGCGCCCGCTACCACATTTTTTTTGTATTTTTAGTAGAGATGGGTTTTTACCATTTTAGCCAGGATGGTCTCTATCTCCTGACCTCGTGATCCACCCTCCTCGGCCTCCCAATTTCCAGGCATTCATACTTTTATGTATAATTTATGTTTATTTTATTCAATTAAAGTAGCCGATGGGATCCTAATTGAAGTTGTATTAAATCAATATGTTAATTTTGGGACAATTGCCATGTTCATACTAATTACTCCATAAATTTAAAATATAGTATGTTTCCTCTTCATTCAGAAATTAATTTATATCTTTTATATATTTATATTTTCTTTGTGTTGTCTTTTAAATTTTTGGGGGAGATGTATTTATAAATATTTTAAAGCTTTTGCTGATATAAATAGAAATATTTTTCTCATTTCTATTCCTTAGTGATTGTTACTAGAGTTGAGAAAAGGTACTGATTTTGTATATTTTATATATAAATCAGTAGGAAGAGCACTGTCAATCTAATATTTTTAATTAATTAAACAAGAAAAATACATTCATGTCATTAAGGGCTGAAACAGCTTTTGATAAACTTCAGCAGGCATTATTAATACAGTTCAGGTAAAATTGAAATAAAAGATGATTGCTTAGATATATAAAGATTATTTACTAAAAACAGCAACAGATTTAACAAACATGGAGATCATTTTAGTTAAAATTAGAATGCATTTAGGGATGTCCCTTGTTATCTATATTAAACATTGCATTTGCTATAGCCTCCAAGGCCATAAAACAGAAAAGTAAAATAGTTGGTGTAAATATCAGAAGAGGTAAAACTATCTCTTTTTGCTGATACTATAATTCCTTATCAAGAAATTTAAACAACTCTAGTTAAAAACTTACAGAATGAATAAGATACTTTGATAAGCTATCTGGATATAAGTATATAATATCAATCACTTCTTTATTCTATCAATAATTAACCATTTTTAGTTCTCAAGGTTCAAATTTCAGAGAAGGTGGCTTTGAGCTATAGGTTGGATCATTTCCCATGACTTGGACAGGGAGATAAAAGCTTCTTAGGACGGCCCCACTAGACTCTACCAAGTGGAACAAAGGTGATTGCTCAAATTTGAGCTGAAAGGGGAAATGGATGATAGACAGAAGTTTTTTAAAAAATAAACTCCACATACTGTATGTAACTGCACTTCAGAAGTCAGGTGCCTAGCTTTTAAGAGGATAAATCTAAATTCTTTGCCTGCTTCTTCTAGAATCCTTCCCAAACCCTTTTCCGTTGCCCCCTCCCTTTTTACCTGTTCTACACTGCATCCCAACTGGTTGTTACATTGTCCCCTGCACACGTTTTGCACATTCCTCTGTTGTTTGCCCATCCATTCCCCTCACTAGACGTATTCTATTCCTTTTTCTTTCATGTAATTCTGATTCGCCCTGTAGGGCTCTCTGCACGTTCCCATCAAATGCTTGTTCCATTACCCAAGACCAGGTCCCTTCTCCCAAACCACAGGGGCTCTAGGAGCCCACTCTACCAAAGACCTGAAGAACCTCCAGCTGTCACAGTCTCTTCACTCCTAGGACTGAAGGACCTGTTCTCTTCTCCGCATCTGTTCCTGCATCCCTGTGACATCTGCCCCAACGAAATCAGAAGAGGAGAAGGGACCAGGACTCTCACTTCCCAGACTATACATTGTTCAGCTTCCTCTTTCCCCCTTTCTGACATGGAAATAGCGAGCGAAGATTTGAGGGCCAGTTTTTTCATGTTGTTGTTTTGGGATGTTTTTTGGTGTGCTGTCATAGATTTTATTTTTTCATTTAGAGAAGCCAGGTCCAACCTAAACAGTTTCATACTCTTACCAAGAGGATGCTTTGTCCTTCACTGTTTCAAGTTTGTACAGGATTCAGGACCATGTTTTGCACCTAGTAAATGAGTCTTCGTTTATCCAAACTATTTTGAGTTCTCACCTTTATGCCTTTGCTGTTGCTATGTCATTTCTCCTGAAGGCCCTTCTCCTTCTCTTTGTTCACTTGATTACTCTTAGTTTTTACATTTCAGCTCAGGTGTCAACTGCTCCAAGAAGCCTTTCTCGAGCTCATGCTCCCCTTCACCAAACTGCCACAACAACCTGTGTGAATCTTGATCACCAAGCTTACAGTGCTGTTTGAGATAATTATCTGCTCAAGTTTCTGGTGTTCCCATTAGACTGTCAGTGCCTCATCGATGTGCTCAGCCTCTAGCTGTGAATGGTGCACAGGTGACCCCAGTGGATATTTTTTGAATAAAAAAATAAATGTATGGATGAACTGAGCAATGTTTTGTTACCATGGATGTTGGTCATATCATTTCATGATTTGCTATCTAATTTTGCCATTTCTCCTCTAATTCCATTACCCTCCCAGCTCTTGTTTCTCTACGTGAGCATGTTGTGTGAATGCTGAGTGAACTTTTAGTTTACTATGCATTCATAGTGCATTCATTCCAGTATTCATTTCTTCCTTGGGTCCTGGCCTACTCCTTCCTTTTCTCTCATCTATTCATTCTAATCTCATTTGAACATCAAGCTCCTCCCACTGTCGATACTTTATCATCATTACTATCCCTTTTAGTAACTTAGTAAAAAAGCACCTCTAGGATCTTTCAACTTACTAAAGACTTTTCCTAGAGGAGGAGACAAATCTGATTCTGCAAACTTTTTTTTTTTTTTTTTTTTTGAGACAGGATCTCACTTTGTCACCCAGGTTGGAGTGCAGTAGTGCGATCACAGCACACTGCAGCCTCAACCTCCCCAGGCTCAAGTGATCCTCCCACCTCAGCCTCCTGAGTAGCTGGAACGACAGTCATGTGCCACCACGCCTGGCTAAATTTTGTAATTTTTGTAGCGACAGGGATTCAGCATATTTCCCAGGCTGGAATTCCTGGACTTAAGTGATCCACGTGCTTCTGCCTCCCACAGTGCTGGGATGATATGCTGCAAGCCACTATGCCTGGCTGGCTCTGCAAACTTTTACTTCTATGACCCTTTCTTTCTCTTGGTTTCTCCTTGACACTTCTCCCCAATGAACCCATGGTGCAATATGGGAGTTGGTGCCCTAAAAGTGACTACCTCCTAAAATCACTCACACTCAATTATTAGTAAAGTTCAAATGACAACTTTTTTATGATAATTGTGTTTTAAAAGAAAATCTGAGGGATAGTAAAAACAAAAAAAAAATTCATGCCAGAATTTCAGGCAAGCACCAGTTGAGAATGTATTTTTGTGTGAGCAGGGTGTTATCAGTAAGGTTCAACATGTTCTACATAAGGGACTGGAAGCTCTGCCCGGGATGTATGAGGGCAATCTTGCCTGGCCTAAAGGTTGGACTGTAGGTAGCACAGGACTTCCGGGTTTGGAGATTTAGAGGATAAGTCTAGGCTTCACCCAAATACCAACAATAAGAACTTGAGTAGTTCCTGGGACCTCCCTGAGCCTAAGTATAAAATGAGGACAGCAACACATATCTATACTGCCATGCTGTTATAAGAAATAAATGAGATAAGAAATATAAAGCCTTAGGAGTCAATACAGTGCAATGGTGGAGCATGAGTATTGCAGAGTCCGATTGGTTGGGTTCAAACTCTGGACCTGACACTAATTAAGGGTTAATGACCTTGTGTAAGCTTTTAATCTCTGTGTGCCTCAATCTCTCTATCCATATGATAAGGGATACAAGACCTTTCTCATACAGTGGTTTAAAGATGAGAGTAAATAATATATGTGAGAACACAA